>NC_000003.12:129160119-129311634 GCF_000001405.40 Homo sapiens
GGTTCACGCCATTCTCCTGCCTCAGCCTCCCGCGAAACGGCTACTTCTATTCCACTGGTTTCTCTCTTTTTCTTGGGAGCTTGTGCTCATCAATCTACAATGGCTTCCAATATATCTCTTATAACCTAACCATGACGCCCAGTGTTTCTTATAGGGGCTTCACTTAATGAAAATAATACAGTAGCCAATATTACGTAGTGCCGGTACCAATCATCTTTGTACCGGCACTACGTGTATTCTTAAATTTACACGTCGTAAATGCTTCTTGAAGAAATGAAGAAACCAACAAATGACGCCAGACCACAGAGAGCACACCCTCATAGAACACTTTCTGTCTATGCCATTCATTTATTCAATAGTTATTGAACATCTGCAACGACTCTGTGTCAGACATTAAGGAAGCAATAAGGAAAAGACCCTACCCTCGTGATGTCTGTATATTATGGAGCAGACTGAGAACGGACATAAATGAAATAATCCCAGAAACATATAGTCACAACTGCTCTTAATCTTCTCTGTGGTATTTAGGGACAAACAGCCGGCCCACACTATGCACCGTAACTCGGAGCGGGACCTAGTGCTTCTCTGTGTCTTAATTTCCCTCAGGTTAACCTAAAGAGCTTCATCGGGATTAAGACACTGTCCAGGACAGTAACGCGGCTCCCGAGTTTCCAGTTTTCCAATTTGTGACAGCTAATGGAGGCAGGAAGAGAATCCCCTCGTTACACCAAGGAACTTGAAGCCCTCAGCACTGCACGTCTGAGCCTCTACCGAATGAGCGCCCCAGGTGGACTGGGCGCCCCCCCGCCCGCCCGCCCATCCACTCGCTCCCTCACCCGCCCACCCTACTCACCATGGTGTCGCTAAGGGCGCCGTCCTGGAGCCCCGCGGCCCCTGTCCAAGAAACTCCACAGGCCCAGAAGACGCCGACGCTCACAGGAACTGAAGATTCCAACTACCCACAGACACTGATGTTTTGCCGGAAACGTAAAAGACAGGGACCGGAACTGAATGGGAGTACCGGAAGTGCCCAGACGAAGCGGACGCTCACAGAAACTGAAGATTCTAACTGCCCACAGACACTGTTTTGTCGGAAACGTAAAAGAAAGGGACAGGAAGTGAATGAGAGTACTGGAAGTGCCCGGACGAAGCCGACGCTCGCAGGAACTGAGGATTCTAACTGCCCACAGAGCCTGATGTTTTGTCGGAAACGTAAAAGAAAGGGACCGGAAGTGAAAGGGAGGACCGGAAGTGAAAGGGAGATCCGGCCGGGGATTGGGAGAGAAAATTCTGGCGCTCCGTCAGGCGGTCTTCCGGTAGCGCCGGCACGCGGCGTCATCACACGCAGACGTGTGATGGGGCTTTCGCAGAGGGACTGGCGGTTTTCGGACTCAGCCCAGGCGGCGGGTCTTAGTTCTGGAAACAGGAGTACTAAATGTCTTGTGTTCACTATTGGTACTGCGGGAGCAGGCGGCGCTGGGCGCGGTTATGTGGAAGGCTGAGTGATTGCCGCTACTCTAATCCCACCGGCTTCCTTGGTTCCTCTGTGAGAGCAAATATCCCCTTTTGGAAATTACTCGACCTCATCTCTGCGACGAGGGATCTACGGCCCCGACAGCTCCCCTAGTGGGAGCTGGAGTGTGCGTCCTGCAGGAGTTGGAGCTGGCCGGGCTTCGTAAACTCCTTCACTTTTCCTTGTCACCTCTTAGGGCCATTTCTAGTTTTTCTGAGCTGGTCTGTTGGAATCGCGGGGCCTTTCAGAGCTGGACGATGCTTGAGGTCATCCTCTTTTAAAATAAAAATTTAAGTTCCAGGCAAAAAGTGCCACTTAGGGGAGGAGGGTGGTTGGAGAAGTGCGGTCACTGTCCTGAGCACATCGCTGGGACCAGAAGATCGTTAGACAAAGACCAGGAAGACAGGAGAGGTCCCTGGTAGGAGACGTTCTGATGGTTACTCCCGCATGGTGTCAGCAATGAGGGGAACTGTGGTGGGGAATTCAGGTGAGGGCCCGCAGCAAATTCGGTTACAGCCGCTTTCCCCTTTCAAGCATGGTGCCTCAGCTGCAGGGACTCCCTCCACCACGGGACCTAACTAGTGATGGGCACCCTAGCAGCAGCCAGGAGGCACAAGCCAAAGAGAGAAGCAGCTGACATGTGGTTGAGGATCAGACAGGACAGGAAAAGTACTTAGAATAGTCAGCACAATCTCATACCTGAAATGTGACAAGTTTTAAGTGGGCATATGACCACCCACTACAGACCCCATCCTCCCACCTGTCTGGTTTATGATTATGGCCAATAAGAATCGAGTCAAAGGAATGTGTGTCACTTAGATGAAGCCATGACAAAAATATAATCCCTTGCCCTTTTCCTTTCTCTGCTGAGAGGTGTCCATGGGATCAGCCAACCTGAATTCAGAAATGGAAGTATTGTGAAGATGCCAGAGTTCCCCCCCTCCCAGCTCTGGAAAACTGAGCTCTGCAAAATGAGAAAAATAAAAACATGTCTTGTTAAGGCCTCTGCATTTGGGGGTCTTTTGTTCAAGCAGCTTCACTTTTACCTTAAATAGCTGATCTGAAACAAGCAGGGTCATTCCTCACTCAAATGAGGCCTTCTCAACATGTCCATACCACCTTTATCCATTACGTCCCTGACTCTAGGATGCAGAGATCACATATTAGCAGGATTCAAGAGGTGTTAGCTATGTTGTCCTAGCATCTGCTCCCCCTACCCACTTATCTCAGTTCCATTTGGGGAGCCCTCTGGTTGTGGGGAAGGCAACTGCATCCCCAGCTTTAAGTATGGATCAAGCACTAGATTAAGCTAATCCATCCATCCAGTCTCCCTAGGCATAGTGACTGGTGGGTTTAAGACCCAAGCTGACCTAGTCAGAATGAGTCTTGAGATCTGCTTGCAATGCTGGAGAAAATAGATCCTGCTGGATGTCAGACAAAAGGCAATACCAACTGTCAGCCACTTTAGAGCTCAGGAGACAAGATTTAGTGTTTGGTGACATCATTGGGTGGATGAGAATAAGGCCTTGCCTCCGGCCCACTTAAATCTTTAGTTATGTGAAGATTTATGTAAAATTGTTTAGGGTTGCAACCAGTAAGAATCAGACCTATCTTGCCAGTCTGCTAAATGGCCTTCCTTTCTCTGCTCACACTGATCTTGCCTTTCTTCATGATGCTCCTTTTGCCTGCAGCACCCCGTCCTTTATCCCCCCTGCCACTTGACTAATCTGACTGGTTGATGCCTACTTACCCTTTGAGACAGTTTAAACATCCGGGATTCCAATCCCAACTATGATCTGTCATTGGATCACATCACTAATCCTAAAGCAGCAGTTGTAAACTGGCCAGCAGGCTGGATTTGGCCAACAAAGCTGCTGTGATTTACATCGGATTACAAAAATTAGAAAATCTCACATACAGATGCTAAAGTGAGACAACATTGAGCCTACATTCCTGAACAGCAACCACACAGGTGAAAAAAATCTGATTTTATTAGTTCATGTATTTTAAGTTGGATACAATAACACATCAAATTGGGTGAAAAAAACTAATATTAAAAAGGTATTTTCTGGCTTCAGGCAGCACTTTTGCCTAACATTCACATATATGTCCCCTAGCATCCATGTAAGTGCCTCAAATGTTGTCCTCCACTAAACATGGATTCACTGGAGAGCAGGTATTGCAGGCAGAAAAACAGCCCCCCAAAATGTCCACATCCTAATCTCTGAAACCGTTGGTACGTTACCTTACATGGCAAAAGGGATTTAGCAGGTGCAGTTAAGAAGCTTGAGATAGGGCCGGGTGCGGTGGCTCATGCCTGTAATCCCAGCACTTTGGGAAGCCAAGGTGGGTGGATCACCTGAGGTCAGGAGTTCAAGACCAGCCTGGCCAACACGGTGAAACCCTGCCTCCACTGAAAATACAAAAATCAGCTGGGCGTGGTGGTGCACACCTGTTAATCCCAGCTACTTGGGAGGCTAAGGTGGGAGAATCACTTGAACGCGGGAGGCGGAGGTTGCAGTGAGCCAAGATAGCACCACTACACTCCACCCTGGGCAACTGAGTGAGATTCCATCTCAAAAAAAAAAAAAAAAAAAAAAAAAAAAAAAAAAAATTAGCCAGGCTTGGTGGTGGGCACCTGTAATCCCAGCTACTAGGGGGGTTGAGGCAGGAGGATTGCATGAACCTGGGAGGCAGAGGTTGCAGTGAACAGAGATTGTGCCACTGCACTCCAGCCTGAGAAACAGGGCAAGACTCTGTCAAAAAAAAAAAAAAAAAAAAAAAAATGGAGGGAGGGAGGGAGGGACGGACGGACGGAAGGAAAAAAGAAAAGAATGAGCACACATTAATTCCTGGGAGTCTTGCATTTTAAATGATTTAGAATTCTTCCATTAATTGTTCCTTATAACTGAAGTCTTCCAGGGTATCTATCATCCATGGCTCTCAAACCGTAAAAACCACTTAGTACAAGATTAATGGGGAACTTCAAGATGAATGGACAAAACTGAAATCACCGAACCAACTGATTATGATCACCAAAACTAAAACCTGAGATTTTGCACCTCTTGATGATGCAACAGTAAGCACACTGCATCTCCTATGATATATTCTTGTCTAAAAGAAAGAAAAAGAGGTCAGGTGCAGTGGCTCACGCCTGTAATCCCAGCACTCTGGGAGGCCGAAGCAGGCGGATCATTTGAAGTCCGGGGTTCGAGACCAGCCTGGCCAACATGGGGAAACCCTACCTCTACTAAAAATACAAAAGTTAGCCAGGTATATTGCTTGAACCTGCGAGGTGGAGGTTGCAGTGAGCCAAGATCACGCTCCCACAGCACTCCAGCCTTGGCGACAGAGCAAGACTCCAACACAAAGGAAAAAAAAAAAACCAGGCTGCCATGGTGGCAAGGCACCTATAATCCCAGCTACTTGGGAGGCTGAGGCAGGAGAATCACCTGGGAATCAGAGGTAATGAGCCGAGATAGCGCCACTGCACTCCAACCTGGGCAACAGGGCAAGACTCTGTCTCAAAAAAGAAAGAAAAAAAAAAAAACAGAACCTATGTATATAGGTTTATATATATGTAAAATCAACCTTCTGAATCTACCATTTTACAAAAACCACGGGGGTTAAAAATCATGTGAAACAATATCACAATGATACCAATCAGCCAAATATAGGTCATAGAATCAACCTCAGGTTTTCTTCAGTAAAGACAGGAAACTATTAGAGACTTAAGACACTTAAGAGACATTATGAAACACATGTATAGAGAGCATTTGGATCTTGATTCAAAAAAACAAATTAGAAAAAATATTTTCATCAAGTGAAGAAAAAAAAATTTTTTTGAGACGGAGTCTTGCTCTGTGGCCCAGGCTGGAGTGCAGTGGCAGGACCTCGGCTCACTGCAAGCTCCACCTCCCGGGTTCATGCGATTCTCCTGCCTCAGCCTCCCCAGTAGCTGGGACTACAGGTGCCCGCCACCACACCCGGCTAATTTTAAGTGAATAAAATTAAACACAGAGTTATGCATGCCACTAAAGAATTACTAGGCTGGACACAGTGGCTCTTGCGTGTAATTCCTGTGCTTTAGGAGGCCAAGGCAGGAGGATCACTTCAGGCCAGTAGTTTGAGAGCAGCCCAGGCAACGTAGCAAGACCTCATTTTTTTGGAGGCAGTCTCGCGCTATCCCCCAAGCTAGAGTGCAGTGACACCATCTTGGCTCACTGCAACCTCCACCTCCCGGGTTCAAGTGATTCTTCTGCCTCAGCCTCCTGAGTAGCTGGGATTACAGGCAACTGCCACCATACCCCACTAATTTTTGTATTTTTGGTAGAGATGGGGTTTCGCCATGTTGGCCAGGCTGGTGTTGAACTCCTGACCTCAGGTGATCCGTCCGCCTCAGCCTCCCAGTGCTGGGATTACAAGCGTGAGCCACGGTGCCTGGCTGCAAGACCTCATCTCTACAAAAAATTAAAAAATTAGCCGGGCTTGGTGGCACACGCCCGTAGTCCCAGCTACTATGGAGGCTGAAAGTGGGAGGATCCCTTGAGCCCAGGAGTTGAAGGCTACAGGGAGCTATGGTTGAGCCACTGCACTCCAGCCTGGGTGCCCATAGCAAGACTCTGTCCAAAAAAAAAAGGCAAAAACTTTAAGCTGAACCTAATAATTTAGCCTCCAGACCAGGAAATACAGAGATATAGAAAAACAAGTTAAACGGTACCGTAAGAAAACCAGTAAATAGAGGACATTCAAAAAAACTGTTGTAGCCTCCTAACAGTTAAGTTAGGAGAGTAAGACAAACTAAAGAAACCGATTAACCTGGCCGGGCACAGTGGCTCACGCCTGTAATCCCAGCACTTTGGGGGGCTGAGGTGGGCGGATCACTTGAGGTCAGGAGTTAGAGACCAACCTGGCCAACAGTGTGAAACCCTGTCTCTACTAAAAAAAATTAGCTGGGCTTGGTGGCAGGCACCTGTAATCTCAGCTACTCAGGAGGCTGAGGCACGAGAATTGCTTGAACCCAGGAGGCGGACGTTGCAGTGGGCCAAGATCATGCCACTGAGCTCCAGAGCAAGACTCCTTCTCAAAGTAAGAAAAAGAAACAAATTAACCTAATGCAACTCATAAATGCTGACTGGATCCTGGTTTGGAAAACGTAGCTACATAACACTTCTTAGACACAATTATGCTATTTGAATATAGTATTAGATATCAGATACTAGGGAATGTTTAGATACATTAAGTATGATAATGGTACTGTGGTAATGAGAACATCTTATAAGATGCATGATAAAGTGATGTCACGTCTATAACTTACTTTCAAACTATTGTTAACTCTAGATCGAGAACACATGGGGGGTTCATTGTACTGTTTTTTTTTTTTTTTGAGACGGAGTCTGTCTGTTCCCCAGAATGGAGCGCAATGGCGCCAATCTTGGCTCACTGCAACCTCTGCCTCCTGGTTCGAGGTATTCTCCTGCCTCAGCCTCCTGAGTAGCTGAGAATCAAGGCGTGTGACACCACACCTGGCTAATTTTTGCATTTTCAGTAGAGACAAGGGTTTCCCCATGTCAGCCAGGCTGGTCTCGAACTCCTGACCTCATGATCCACCCGTCTTGGCTTCCCAAAGTGCTGGGATCACAGGAATAAGCCACCACGCCCAGTGTGACTCCTTTTAGTTAGCCGGATTTCTCTGTAAAATACACATTTTCATGTTGCATTTGCTTTCCAGTCATCAAGGTCAATGCAAATAAATTTTATCTTATAAAGGAACACTTTGTAGTCTCCTGTGAATAGGTCCTTAATTATGTTGTTTCAAAAGGTCTCACAAAGCAACTAAAGTACTACAAATTCAGCACAAGGAATGGGTGCATGAAGCAAAGGAGTTCTAAATTTTAACCAACCCACTTTACTTTTTCCCTTCCCAACACACAAAGCTGTGATTAACGCAGGAGAAAGTATTATTAATGAGAACTAAGCTGACCTGAAGAGCCATAACAACATATCCCATTTGCTATGTTTTAGGTTTTCCTACATGAGGCCCAGAATTTGGGGGGAAATAACTCCATGTGCACACCAGCCCCCAAACCTCATTTAACAGTGATGCCTTCAAAAATAAATCTTTCCCCCAACCTAACAGTGATGCCTTCGAAAAAAAGTCTTTCCTTATGCTGTTTCATACATATGGTAGAAAATAAAATTGTCAAGATATTTATTGTGTTAACATGTGAGACATACAATTTGCTCAGTAAAAATAGCACATGAAAAAATATTATAAGCTTATATTCATAAAGAAATGGGTATGTTATTACCTCTTTTTCTTGCTTGCTCAGGACTATTAATTTGACAAGGTTGGAATGTGCACAGCACAGCTGAGACACCACCATTTTAACACTGAATCACTATACCATGAACTGACAGAACCCTGCATGAAGGATGAAAAACTCATACCCAAAGTCAAGAATCACACAGCAGCATGGAGGGGGAAAATGAACTATATGATGCTAACCGCATTTAATTTCGAAGTGGGGGGAAACAGGGCATGGGGAGTGAATAATGGTTGAAGTTCCAGGCTCTAACTGTACATCCTTAAGTAAATTAAGTTTAACTCATCTATTAAAAAGTGAGTTAAAACAGATGAGTTTTAAGGTCCATCTCAACTCTAAATGAGACACTAGCAAAAACAAGGAATCCACCACTTCAGATCCTTATGAAACCCAGGAAAAGGTGGGGCACAGTGGCTCACCTGAGGGCAACAGTTGGAGACCAGCCTGACCAACACAGTGAAACCCCATCTCTACTAAAAATAACAAAAATTAGCTGGGTGTGGTGGCGGACACCTGTAATCCCAGCTATTTGGGAGGCTGAGGCAGGAGAATTACTTGAACGGGGTGTGGGGGTGGGGGGTGGAGGTTGCAGTGAGCTGAGATTGCACCATTGCACTCTAGCCTGGGCAACAGAGCGAGACTGTCTCAAAAAAAAAAAAAAAAAAAAAAAAGGCCCAGGAAAAACACAAAAATAGCAATGGTATTAAAACTGTTCAGAATCGGCCAGACACGGTGGCTCGCACCTGTAACACTAGCACTTTGGGGGGCGGGGCAGGTGGATCACCTGAGGTCAGGAGTTGGAGACCAGCCCGACCAACATGATGAAACCCAGTCTCTACTAAAAATACAAAAAATAGGCCGGGCGCGGTGGCTCACGCCTGTGATCCCAGCACTTTGGGAGGCCAAGGCGGGCGGATCACGAGGTCAGGAGATTGAGACCATCCTGGCTAACACCGTGAAACCCCGTCTTTACTAAAAATACAAAAAAAAAAAATTAGCTGGGCGCGGTGGCGGGTACCTGTAGCCCCAGCTACTCAGGAGGCTGAGGCAGGAGAATGGCACGAACCCAGGAGGCGGAGCTTGCAGTGAGCCGAGATCGCACCACTACACTCCAGCCTGGGCAACAGAGCGACACTCTGTCTCAAAAAAAAATAAAAAAATAAAATAAAAATAAAAATACAAAAAATTAGCGGGGGGTGGTGGCGGGTGCCTGTAATCCCAGCTACTCAGGAGGCTGAGGCAGGAGAATTGCTTGAACCCGGGAGGTGGAGGTTGCAGTGAGCCAAGCCTGCACTCCAGCCTGGGCGACAAGAGTGAGACTCCGTCTCCAAAACAAAACAAAACCACCACCACCAAAAAACCTGTTCAGACTGAACACAGAACTCAAGGGCATTATTATAACAGATTACAAAGTGAATTTTCTATAGCTTTGCAAAAGTATCTAAATCCCATACATCCTTTTAACAGCAATTTTCATTATTGAAGACATGACTTAAGTACAAAAAGAAAAGTCCAAACTGTCAGCTTTCAGTCCTCCACATTCCCCTCTTTAATATGGTATTTTGCACTATATACATTAATGAAAATTTGAAACAAACAAAAAGAACTTTAGTCAAACTCCCCTTCCTCCTCCAGCTTTATTGGAATAGTTTAAAATTACATTTCTATTTTCTAGGACTTCAGTTGCTCTTTCCATCTGACTTTTAAAAACTGATTACAGCAAATGAAACACAGTTGTCTAAGTGATATAGTATACAAAAATAACATCTTGATTTCTGTGAAAATGCATTTCTCTGCAATTCCTGAATAGCTCCAAATTATGCTAACTCTGAGCATTGATGTTTACTCTGGGTTTTAGATTTAGTCTTTGAAAATAATGTGTTCTAAACCTTTGCCATCACCATCTATGTGTCCAACATCAACACTGTGATGAAGTTGTTCCTGTTTAGGCTTTTATTCCGATTTCTCTCGAACAGCCATTAACACGCATGTTTATCTTTTTGTTTACTCCCACTCAACTGTATGTTCTATGTAGGGCCTGATACAGATGTTACTTGATGTTATTTAATAGCTACTGAGGTCAGACAATCCAAGACCATCATTATACTAAAATTAAAGTTATTTATGGAAGTTCATAGACACTTCCAGAATTGGTTTTACCTCCTACATGGGAACATGTTCAAGGAACCCAGGACGGGCTTACTGGTCTGACTCAACTCTTCCCATTCATCAATCCCTATTCACCAGTGGCACGGAAAGGGGGTTCTTTAACAAAGCATTATACATAACACCTCTACCAAACTAAACATAAACTTTTTTTGTAGTTAAATGCAGAAAGTCGGTTTTTTTCCACCCCTTTCCTCCTTTTACACGGCAAGTAAAGCTCACTGGCCTGGGAGTTGCCTCTATCTGCCAACCTTTGGCCAGTGAAGAGGATTCAGAGAAAATAATACAACCATCAATCAGAAAAAGGAGGGGCGACAAAGGAAAATAATTAGGCTGTAGCCTCAATTGTGCATTCCCGTGCAAGGTGCCCTGACTCGCCACAGCGGTAACAGTTGACTTCACTTGTCTTGCTGCAGTTGATGGCTACATGACCAGTTTCACCACACCTAAAAAAGAAATTAAAAGTTTTCACAATGGGCCTCAGAAAAAAACTGTCTACCAAAGCAACAGTCACCATGCAGAACAAAACGCCTGATCTTTGTTTTCATGCAATTAACCCCTAAGGTTTCACAGATATGTACACAACAACATTTATCAAATTATACACTTACATGTCACAAACAGGCAAAGATTTCTGGTTACATGATAAAAGATTTATGTATATTACAGAGCTTTCTATGAAGTCTCTGGAAGTTTCAAATTATAACACTCTTACTTTTATATATTAAAAAAGTCCAGTTGTGAAAACTGCCCAGGTACCATAAGCCACAGGATATCAGGGCAGAATACAGAATTATATACAGATAGACTGCCAGTTACATATGCTGAAAATTGGTCTTATCTGGTCACAGCTAAGTTTCACTGAATTTACTAAGGCCCTTCCATTTATAGCTAATTCATCTCTGGAAGAATCTCTGCAATGAGTTTTCTTCTAACAACATTCTGACACCTTACCTATAGCACTTCACTTTGGTGCAGTCTTTTTGAATGTGTCCGAATTCTCCACAAGAATAGCATTTCTGCTCATCTGCATGGTCGCAGTCACGAGCCAGATGGCCTGGTTTGCCACAGTTGTAGCAGCATTGCTCTCGCTCTCTCTTGGGCTCCTTGCAGTCCTTGGCAATGTGGCCACCTCTACCGCAGTTATAGCAGGCTTCAACAATAAGGAAAAGAAACAGGCCAAGACTATAAAACCTTTACAAAGTGTTACGTTTTAAATTATACAATACAAAACCTCAAAGGTGGAAATGCTATACACAGTTGCATGTGCTCACCTCTCCAAGCTCTAGAGGGGTATGAAAAGGAAGTGTTAAATACTTACCATCCTCCTGAAGATCACAATCCTTGGCAAGATGACCAGACTCACCACAGCGATAACAAATGTCTGGAAGAGACGAGGAAACAAACTGGAAACCTGTTTTGAGCAAAAACAAAGAATTCGGCTAGTCAGACCAGTCTTGATACTAACAAATACTGAAGTACTTCAAATTTTTCTATTCGACAAAATACCTCTATCCGAGGTAAAACCACCTCTGCCACGGCTTCTCATTCCACGACCACGGCCTCCACCAGTAGGACATTCCCGGGCCCAGTGGCCAGATCGTCCACACTTGAAGCACTCATTGCTGCTCATGGCTGCAGTCAGATCTTTGAAATATTAAAAGTAACAGCATTAAACCACTGAAAGTTCTTTTAACTTTTATTCTCTATTAAATGTATTTTTGGAAAATTATTCTGGGGAAAAAAGCTAGCTAATATATTGGTTAAAAAAATAGCTGGGCATGGTGGCTCACGCCAGTAATCCCATCACTTTGGGAGGCCGAGGTGGGTGGATCATGAGATCGAGACCATCTTGGCTAACATGGTGAAACCCCGTCTCTACGAAAAATACAAAAAATTAGCCCGGTGAAGTGGCAGGCGCCTGTAATCCCAGCTACTTGGGAGGCTGAGGCAGGAGAATGGTGTGAACCCAGGAGGCGGAGCTTACAGTGAGCTGAGATGGTGCCACTGTACTCCAGCCTGGGCAACATTGAGACTCTGTCTCAAAAAAATAAAATAATCACACAACTACATGATTGGGTATTATAGACTTATTATAATATACACCTTGATAAAAGTGATGGAATTTACAGGGTTAGGGTCAATGAAAATCCATTAAGAGAAATAATTGGTAGTGGCTGGGCACGGTGGCTCATGCCTGTAATCCTAGCACTTTGGGAGGCTGAAGCGGGTGGACCATCTGAGGTCAGGAGTTTGAGACCAGTCTGGCCAACATGGCGAAACCCCGTCTCTACTAAAAATACAAAAAACAGCCGGGCATGGCGGCATGCGCCTGTAATCCCAGCTACTCAGGAGGCTGAGGCAGAAGAATCGCTTGAACCCGGGGGGTGGAGGTTGCAGTGAGCCGAGATCATACCACTGCACTCCAGCCTAGGGGACAAAGTGAGACAGACAGGCAGGCAGGCAGGCAGGCAGGCAGGCAGACAGGCAGACAGGCAGCCAGGCAGGCAGGCAGGCAGGCAGGCAGGCAGGCAGACAGACAGACAGACAGACAGACAGACAGACAGACAGACACACACACACACACACACACACACACACACACACACTGGCAGTAATACTCATTCACTCATTCCAAGTCCAACTTAATGGACACATTTGCATGGTTATAAGGCCTATATAAGCTTTATTTTGGGCAAATAGAAGTCATTTATTTACTCACATCAAAAAATTGGAATAACCCAAACCAATGAAGCTGTAAAATGGATTCTCGGAGTGAGGAGTCAGTGAAGGAAAATACTCTCTTAACCTTAGCACCTGACGTAGTACCTAGTTATACTGCAGCACTTGCCTGGTGACTGAGATATTCCTTAGAACAGATATGTTAAAACAAATGCAAGATACAAATCTTATCTCTAGATGGTACAAGTACAGTAGGCCCTCTATATCCATGGGTTCTGCATCCATGGCTTCAACCAACCTTGGAATAAAAATATTCAGTGGAAAAGTTGCATCTGTATTGAACATGCAGACTTTTCTTGCCATTATTCCCTAAACAATACAATGTTAACAACTACTTATTCAGCATTTACATTGTGTTAGGTATTATAAGTAATCTAAAGATGATTTTAAAGTATATGGGAAGATGTGCAAAGGTTGTAATGCAAGTACTACACTATTTTATATTGGGAACTTGAGCATAGGAGGATTTTGGTATTTGAGGGAGTTTGTGGAACCACTTCACAGATACCAAGAGATGACTGTATAATAAAAATAGTAGGAAAACGACCATGAGTTACACCAAAGCGCTAATAATAGCACCTACAGCACTGGCAACATTTGTGTTTTGTTTTCTTTTATTCTCCCCTTTCCAAATGTTTCTGTAATGTAATTTTACATTTTAAACAATGCTACTTAGAATTTCATAATAAACTCCTTTAATTGGTTATCATTTTAAAATAAAAATAAAACTCCCACTAAAGCAAATGGATTTTGTACTTATGTAACAATCTAAAAATAAATTGAGGCTATTCTTAAAATAGAATGAAATGGAATAGAACATAATGAAAACAATGCAACTACATTTTCACACTTCCATATCTAAATATTTTTACCCTTAATTCCACTGTCAAACAATGGCACACAAAGTCGTATTTTAAATATCCTCTCAAACCTAAGCACAGGCACCATCATCTAGAAAAACATATTTCCAACTGAGTAAAACTTGAGTGGATAATCGAATTAGCTAACCTAACCACAGTGCCAAAGACCCAAAACGCAGTCCGAAAAATGGCAAGGTTCTCCACTTTCAGTAACTGTTTAATCATTAACTTGTGGACAAATTTAGTGACTTAAAATTACACTGAAGTTGAGTTTCAAAAAGTTCCCATTGTCAAATATACAAAAGAAAATAACACAATACTCACTTACCCCAACTCTGTGTAATCTGATTTAGGATAAATTCTTAGAGAAATCTTTCTACTAACTCTTGCCACTTGCCTATGAACATATTACCAAAAAAATTATATGGCTATGAGTTACTGGTGCTTTCAGATATACAAAACATTTCTAGTCAGAACAAACAGCCAGTGAAGGATATTAAAAACAGATTTTTACAGAATTTGAAATAGTATCTGCTTTGTAATCATTCTTTTAACTGTACTAGTATTAGCATCCTAAATTATGTGAAGTATTTGCTGGTTTCCACCACAGAAGAGTCAGAATTAAAAAAAAAAAAAAAAAAAAAAAAACGAATGGCGGGCAGGGCACGGTGGCTCACACCTGTAATCCCAGCACTTTGGGAGGCCGACGAGGATGGTTCACCTGAGGTTGGGAGTTCGAGACCAGCCTCACCAAGAAGGAGAAACCCCGTCTCTACTAAAAATGCAAAATTAGCCAGGCTTGGTGGCTCATGCCTATAATCCCAGCTACTCAGGAGGCGGAGGCAGGATAATCTCTTGAACCCGGGAGGTGGAGGTTGTTGCAAGCCAAGCAATTGCACTCCAACGTGGGTTACAAGAGTGAAACTCCATCTCAAAAAAAAAAAAAAAAAGGCATATAAAATGGTCAAAGAAAAAAGGCTGCTTATGGCACCACTTCCTCCCCATCTTCATTTTGTATCTTCTCCAATTTAGTCAGATCAGCTTGAGCTCATTTAACTATTGATCTCAAGGAATTATTTGCACATAAATGATTACTTTTACAGTGTAATCCAGACAATTTGCAAGGCCTGAATATCTTATAATTTAATATTTAAACAAGATACATCTCTTTTAGAAAATACAAAACAAGGATGGGCACAGTGGCTCACACCTGTAATCCCAGCACTTTGGGACGCCAAGGCAGGAGGATCACCTGAGGTCAGGAGTTGGACATCAGCCTGACCAACACAGTGAAACTCCATCTCTACTAAAAACACAAAATTAGGGCAGGCGTGGTGGCTCACGCCTGTAATCTCAGCACTTTGGGAGGCAGGCGGATCATGAGGTCAGGAAATCAAGACCATCCTGGCCAACATGGTGAAACCCCAAATCTACTAAAATAAAAAAATTACCCAGGCGTGGTGGTAACGCGCCTGTAGTCCTAGCTACTCGAGAGGCTGAGGCAGGAGAATCGCTTGAACCCGGGAGGTGGAGGTTGCAGTGAGCTGAGACTGGGCCACCACACTCCAACCTGGGTGACAGAGCAAGACTCCGTCTTCAAAGAAAGAAAGAAAGAAAAAAAACTATTCTGTAAAACAGATATGCATCTCAGTGGCAAAGGCAGAACTTTACACACTAGAATATAACAGAAGTTTTAGATGTTTTGCTTTTTTTTTTTTTTTTTTGAGACAGTCTCGCTCTGTCACCAGGCTGGAGTGCGGTGGCGCCATCTTGGCTCACTGCAACCTTCACCTCCTGGGTTCAAGCGATTCCCCTGCCTCAGCCTCCCACATAGCTGGGACTACAGGCGTGCACCACCACGCCCAGGTAATTTTTTGTATTTTAGTAGAGACGGGGTTTCACCATGTTGGCCAGGATGGTCTCGATCTCCTGACCTAGTGATCCACCCGCCTTGGCCTCCCAAAGTGTTAGGATTACAGGCGTGAGCCACTGCGCCCAGCCTGTTTTGCCATTTTTAGTCACACATAATTTTGTTTACTAGAGTAAATTAATGCTAATAAAGAAAACACTAAGTCTTAAAAGGGAAGAAAAACATTAATAGCCTCCAAATGTCATCAACATGACACGTGATTTTAAAAGAGGTCTTTGAGTGGCCTTAGGTACTATGTATGCAATCTGCCCTCTCCTCCCTTTGGCTAACCCTATCGCAGTGAATCAGGTGGTCTACAGTTTCACTGGTAACTGGTCCCTTGTGATAGACTTGTCTCTTTAATAACATTATTAAACTAACCACTTTCCACAATGTTTTAGACTCACACTACTTATATTAGGCAGCAGGTCCCCATCCTAGCACTCATCTCATATGAACATTATTTAGTTTAAAGGTCTTTACAGAATTCCATGATATTCCTTAGGAAAACTAAGGTAAGGTAAGACAGCTGAGAATCATGGCTCCATGAGTCTGTCTCATTGCCTGTGACTGCTCCTGGCTGGAATTTCACTGCACTGTCCTGGTCTCCCCTGCTCCTTTTCCACCTGTCACAACTTTTTCCAACCTTCACGGGCCAACTCAAATGCCAACTCTATAAAAGAATCTGACTACATCTCCCAGCCTGGAACTACCCTCCCTATTAAGTCCCAAGACACTTTGTTAATATCTGTCTAATGGCAGTACCATATTGCCTTGTATCATATTCCTTGAAGGTAGAGACCAAGTAATTCACCTTTGAATCATCGAACACCCCATATAGTTATCCTTTTAGTAGCCATTATGTAACTCAGTATTTTAATTCTAGGGGGACAGGTGTCTTTAGCAATTTGGTGAAACTAACTGACCCAATCCAATCTAATCAAGTACTAACAACAAAGCACCTAAATTATTGCTATCAGTCACAAGAGTTACTGCACCATTAATTTAAAGTAATGATGTATTCTCAATTTTGTACTCACTAAGGACTGACTACAGTCACTCTCTGAAACTCTCAGCTTTCTGAAATCATAGGTGAGATTCTGCCCAGATGAATTTAGGATCCACAACTTTCAGCTTCTGACAGGGATTAGGGCCAACCACTCAAAGGACATTCCCAATGTAATTTTTTTTTAAATCCACTAACAGAAGTATCTTCTACTTGTCAATGTTATTTTGAGGATTCCAATCTATAATAAAGCAAATACTAGAAAATATCAAAGGAAGAAAGCTGCTGAATCATAAAACCATGAAAATTAGATTTCAGATTATCTAACACAATCCCCACGTGTGGCTGAGAAATTTACACCCAAGACAACTAAAAAAGCCAGCAACCAGGCCAGAACCTCTAATTTGTCATCCAGGTTCTGTTAGTCCAAGAATTCATAATCAATTGGATTTCAGTACTATTTTATGCAAGCTACAAACATACATGCTAACTTCAATAAAAACCAAAATACTGTTTTTCACTTTTGTCAGGCAGCAGGAAAACACTTAAGTTTCTTCCTTTTGCTAAAAACCACTAATATAAGGCACCACTTACTGAAGGTTCCTTGGGTTTGTGTTTTCTCTGGAAAAAATTTTTCGTGAAACCTGATGTACGTATACTGCACTGATGTAGCCTGCCTGACACTGTAAGAGATTTTGGAACCATACTCAACCTGGGTTAATCACTTAACCCAGTTTAACTACTTGCTGTGTTACCTCAAAGACATCTGACTACCCATCTGTGTCTTATTTGTAAAAGGGAAATAATAAAACTGATGTGTGTGGTAAGAATTGTTACCTTGTGCTTAATAGATATTCAATTTAAAAACCAAAGTTTTGGTCTTCTGAGTACATATTCCTTCCACTTTCGCCAATTACCTTGGATTGCTTACAGAGAGTAGACAGAACTCAGTCCAATGTCTATTACATAGCAGGTTTAGAGTGAGGCTAACTGCTTATACTTGTTTCCCACCTTACAGTCTATTTCCTGAATGGAATGGAGAAGAGATTAAGAGGAGAAACACCGGTGATTTCCAAATCAGTTCACATTTTCAACCACCAGACATCAAGATATTTGTCCTAAGTTTCCATTTTTGTGTATCAAATGTTTATGACACAAACCACTTTAAAGGGTGGTAGGAGCACAGGGCATGTCAGGCAAGAGAAGAAATGACTAAGATAGTCAAGATAAGGTCTGGGCCGGGCGGGGTGGCCCACACCTCTAATCCCAGCATTTTGGGAGGCCGAGGCAGATGCATCACCTGAGGTCAGGAGTTCGAGACCAGCTAGCCAACATGGTGAAACCCTGTCTCTACTAAAAATACAAAAATTAGCTGGACATGGTGGTGCATGCCTGTAATCCCAGCTACTCAGGAGGCTGACGCACAAGAATTGCTTGAACCCAGGAGGCAGAGGTTGCAGTGAGCCAAGATCGCACCACTGCACTCCAGCCTGGGCAACAGAGCAAGACTCTGTCTCAAAAAAAAAAAAAAAAAAAAATAAGGTCTGACAAGACTTAAGATTTACTGTGAGGAGCCATGTATGCTAAACTAAGAGGTGTAACTATTTTACACATTTTGAACTTATCTTGGAATTAAAGAAACCACAAATGGTTAGTATACTAATTTGTCTTCCTTAATGTCAGTACTTGTACCATACTATTGATACTAAAAACAAATATAGTAAACTACTAAAATCTAACAGTATGTGGTCAAGACTAACAACTAGGGTTCTAATAAATAGAATGTTCATAACTCTGTCCTAGAAAATACATTTAAAATAAAGTAGCAACAGGCAAGTTGGAGATAAAAATGACACTAGCAAAGTAGGGTATGATTCTGGCTATCTTTATTATTTTATATGGTTTTCTAACACAGCTGTACACATTCACATTTGTATATATGCTTACTTTTCGCAAGCTCAGGGTTATCCCTGACTCATTCATGTTGTTCACTTAACTGCATTTAGACCATACTGGAGCTTTTGCCCTCTGAATGTATGTAAGTATGCACATTATTATGCTCCGTTAAGTCAGTTTACTGTCCCAACATGGTACTGAAACACTTCAGATTTTTTTTTTTTTTGAGACGGAGTCTTGCTTCGCCCAGGCTGGAGTGCAGTGGCACGATCTCGGCTCACTGCAAGCTCCACCTCCCAGGTTCACCCCATTCTCCTGCCTCAACCTCTCGAGTAGCTGGGACTACAGGTGCCCACCACGACGCCTGGCTACTTTTTTTTTGTATTTTTAGTAGAGACGGGGGTTTCACCGTGTTAGCCAGGATGGCCCAGATTCTTTTAATAAAAACGAACTATGGGGGCCGGGTGTGCTGGCTCACACCTGTAATCCCAGCACTTTGGGAGGCAGAGGTGGGTGGATCACCAAAGGTCGGGAGCTCAGGACCAGCCTGACCAACATGGAGAAATCCCGTCTCTACTAAAAACACAAAATTGGCCGGGTGTGGTGGCCCGTGCCTGTAGTTCCAAATACTCAGGAGGCTGAGGCAGGAGAATCGCTTGAACCCGGGAGGCAGAGGTTGCGGTGAGCCGAGATCATGCCATCGCACTCCAGCCTGGGCAACAAGAGCGAAACTCCACCTCAAAGGAAAAAAAGAAGAAAAAAAAAGCAATGAAAGGAAGCAATATACTTTCTGTATTACCTGCATTCCAGCCAGAATAATGGAAAACAGAGTACTTACTCGGGAGCAATTCTGTATTTTTATCCTGGTTCCTGAACTTACTGCTTGACCTTGGTTAATTACATCCATTTCCGCCTGCCCTGATTACTTCTTGAAGAGTTTTAACAGCTGGATATCTATGAGTCAGTCATTAGTAAACATATCTATAATCTTACAACCTCACGAGTTATGTATTCTTGCTCCATTTTAATGACAAACTAAACATCTGACACTGGCCAGGGGCAGTGGCTCATGCCTGTAATCCCAGCACTTTGGGAGGCTGAGGAGGGAAGATCACTTGAGGTCGGCAGCCTGGCCAACATAGTGACACCCCATCTCTACTAAATATACAAAAATTAACTGGGCGTGGTGGTGCATGAGGCAAGAGAATCGCTTGAACCCAGGAGGTGGAGGCTGCAGTGAGCCGAGATCATGCCATTTGCACTCCAGTGTGGGTGACAAAGCGAGACTCCGTCTCCAAAAAAAACTAAAAAAACAAAAATTAGCCGGGCGTGGTGGCACACGCCTATAGTCCCAGCTACTCAGGAGGCTGAGGCAGGAGAATGGCTTAAACCCAGGAGGCAGAGGTTGCAGTGAGCTGAGATCCTGCCATTGCACTCCCGCCTGGGCGACAGAGCAAGACTTTGTCTCCAAAAAAAAAAGAAAAGGAAAAAAAAAGTTAAGTGGTAAAGTACACAAAAATGCTATCGTAATATATGACAAAAATGCTATTGTGTAATATTTTTAAGGTAGGGAATTATACCAATTCAATCTCTACTTCAAAATATTACATAAAGGTATTACTACTATATATCTAGTAACTAAGAAAAAAAAAAGCCACGCACATTTGAATTGTAATGCTGTAAGTATTCATTCTGTATTTCTCTTTAGATAAAAATCAAAGTAAAACTAATACTGATAGCTTTTTAAAAGATCTACAGTCATAATAATTTTGAATTCATTCACACAGCTTTCTTGAATCTTAAAAAATATTTTCTTTAACTTCATGGCAGAACTTAGGAGTCTCACCAAACACACAAACACTGGCAACTTGCTTCACTAGTTAACACCTCATTTGTATTTATGGAGCCATTCCAGGTGATCACTGTAGCACTCTCATATTCCTAATTAACAAAATCCTTCTAATTACAACTTAAAATTTGGTGGCCTCAAGTTCTCACTTTATTATCTCAGTAGTTTTAAACATGAAAATGCTGCATAGCTTACTGCAATCACTCAATGGCATTCCCTTGCTGCTGCAGCATCTGACACTGCCAGAACAGGAGTTCTATTAAGTGAGACAGTAAGGAAAGAGCGTTCTCCACATAGCAGGCCAGGATGCCTTGGCATCATTCTTCTGGCTCTCTACTTACTGTCAGGAGGCTAGGAAGAGAAAAAGGAACCAATCTTTTTTTTTTTTTTTAATTTTTCATCCCTGCAAGGAAAAAAAAGCAGAATCTCTCTGTGGTCAAATCTTCAGCCAATAGACAAATCATTCCAATTAGTCCAATGGTGGTTTCACTGCTTTTAGGCACCAGTTTGGTACTATCCCATATACGTGCCACATATTTTTATTGAACTTTAAAAGACAAGTAGAATTGTTGGCAAGGCACGGTGGCTCAGGCCTGTAATCCCAGCACTTTGGGAGGCCGAGGCGGGTGAATTACCTGAGGTCAGGAGATCAAGACCAGCCTGGCCAACATGGTGAAACCCCGTCTCTACAAAAAATACAAAAATTAGCCGGGCGTGGTGGCACACGCCTGTAATCCCAGCTACTTGGGAGGCTGAGGCAGGAGAATTGCTTGAGCCCGGGAGATGGAGGCTGCTGTGAGCCGAGACTGTGCCACTGCATTCCAGCCTGGCCGACAGAGAAAGACTCTGTCTCAAAAAAAAAAAAAAAAAAAAAAAAAAAGACAAGTAGAATTGTCATAAATCATGTAACAAAACACATTTATACTTTAAAAAAGACATCTCCCTGCCTGTTCCAGATGTTCAAATGCCAGTTTAAGAAAAACCTGGCCAGGCGCGGTGGCTCCTGCCTGTAATCCTAGCACTTTGAGAGGCCGAGGGAGTCGGATCACAAGGTCAGGAGTTCGAGACCAGCCTGGCCAACATGGTGAAACCCCGTCTGTACTAAAATACAAAAACTAGCTGGGTGTGGCGGCGGGCGCCTGTAATCCCAGCTACTTCGGAGGCTGAGGCAGGAGAATCGCTTAATCCGGGAGGCGGAGGTCGCAGTGAGCCGAGATCGCGCCACTGCACTCCAGCTTGGGCGACAGAGTGAGACTCCGTCTCAGAAAAAAAAAAAGAAAAACCCCTGGTCTTCCACTGATTTGGTTCAAAATATTTTACAGACTGCACCATCTGAAATACATTACCTCTCCTGTTACCAATATGAAAAAAAAGAGGACCTTTGGTTCCTCAGAAAAACACAAACTGTTATTTTTTTAAAGAAAAACTTATCAAGAGATGAAATCGGAAAAACTTAAGTCTTTAATTCTGCCCTTGGGAATGTAATAAATTATTCCTTTTATATTCCAATACACAAAGAACTCTTGTAGACAAGAATCAGGCTCAACAAACTAAAAACAGCATGTACCTAGGATCCTGGCAGTTTACAGGTGTTTGATTATCCTTAACCAGAGTAACTCATTAGAAGCATTTAAAACTATTTAGGAGGGGGGAGGGGGAAGCCCAGGAGATAAGTACTATATCTCTTATCTTTTTGAAACCCTCAAAGCTCTACACTCCAGTTATACTGCTTGAACAAACAAATAACATAAAATTGCTAATTTAAATTCGAATGGAAATAGTAACTGGTTACGTTTCACTCCAAAATTGGGTCAAACAATAGGAAAGGGGGAAAAATCTACTTTTAAAAATGTAATTTAAAAGCAAGATGGGGATATTCATTAGACCTCCTTCACTTTGAGAAAGACAAAAAACAAATTCAGTTTTGGCTTATCTCACCTGAGTCCTTCTGAATAATGCCTGAAACACACTAGCTAAAATCACAGACGATTACTGAGCAATGTTCTCTTTTTACAAGACCCCCAAGACCAGAAACAGTCACTTCCTTTGGAAGTGCCCTGTGGCTGAGGCCATATGGTTAACATGTGGGAACAAGCACAAGCCTTACCCATAATAAAATCAACACCTAAACCCAAATGTGGACCATTATGCCATTCTAAAACAGGTTCTCACGATATGGAAAAATCTAGATGGAGGGGAGCTAGTTGAATTTCGTGTCTCGTTTGTAATTACATCTGTTTCATTAATCCAAGAAATGATGCAGACTACCGCCCGCTGCTGTGGTTTTGGAGGTTTGACAAATTCGTGTTTTTTCTGGTAATGGCGCTTTTAAAGGATCCCAGCAACTTAAATAGTGTTAACTCTTGGAATGTGAGCCCCATCAGCCCCTTTTGGAATGGTAATGTAACACAAGCAACTTAGTATTTAAATGACGATAAAAATTCAAGAATCGGAAAACTATCAAGGATAGGGAGTATAAACTCTAAAAGCTCCCAAGTCTTCCAGCAGTCTCGCCACTCCAAACACAAAGGCTTCTTCAGGAACCCTTTGTTGTTGTTTGTTTGTTTGTTTGTTTGTTTTTTTAAGACGGAGTCTCTCTCTGTTGCCCATGCTGGAGTGTAGTGGCGCGATCTCGGCTCACCACAACCTCGGCCTCCGGGGTTCACGCGATTCTCCTGTCCAGCCTCCCGAGCTGCTGGGACTACATGCGCCCGCCACCATGCCCGGCTAATTTTTTATTTTTAGTACAGACCAACTTTCACCATATTGGTCAGGCTGGTCTCGAACTCCTGACCTCGTGATCCGCCCGCCTGGGACTCTCAAAGTGCTGGGATTACAGGCGTGAGCCACCGCGCCCGGCCTAAGAACCCTTTTCTAAGGCCCCCAAAACCCTTGGCACATGGCCCGCCAGGCGCACGACCCCAGCACATGGCCTGCACGACTATACCCACCCCATCCCCCCTTCATCCGCAGCCGGGAGCCTTTCCCCACCACACGGACTCCTTCCAGTGAGTTCCCGCCAAATCCACCCTCGGTCCCTCATTCCGCGACCCTCGAAGCGTCAGGGCCTCGGCCCCAAGGGCGCACGGGCGGGCCTCCTCTGCCCTAAGCCTGCGGCCTGGGGTGCGGCCGTGGCGCCGAAAGACCCGCATGCTCGGCGACCCAGCTTTCCAGGACGAAGAAAGGACAGAAGTGTCGTCCGACAGCGGTGCGCCAGAAACCCGGGTCCGAGGCGGCGGCAGCAGCCGAGCTTCCCGCCTGACGCAGCAGAGGCGCAGGCCAAAGTGCGGCCGCCATCGCCACCTCGCCGCTCCCTACCCTCTCTGTCCGCCACAGACCCGACCCGCACTGCGGCTCCGTCAGCGCCGGGCCCCTCCCCCAGCCCTCACCTTCCGCGTCGGAGCGGGCCCGCAGCGGCGGAGACTCGGACGCAGGCCTGGGGAAGACGGCTCGCAAGGTAGAGGCTGTTTATTTTGAGGGTCCTTGCCTGCGCCACACGCGGGTCTGCACACGGCCCCACATACGCCGCTGCGCACGGCTCTCCTCCGCCTCGCCCACGCGGCCAATCAGCGCGCGGGGTTCGGCAGTCCAATCAGAGCCGCCCGCGGCAGGGCCGCCCACTAGAGCGCGGCGCGGGGCGGGTGTTTCTGCGCGCAGCGTCTTTTCCCGCCGTGCCCCGCGCGCGGCCTTTCACGCCGGGATCCGGGTCCCGGTGCTTCTCGGTTCATTCCCAGCTGGGTCCGGGCCCGGCCAGACTGGGTGGAAATCTGGCTGACCTTGGTGGTCTGTCTTGGCCAGCTGGAGCAAAGGGATGCCAGGGGACGGGTCTCGGTGCAGTGACTGCCATTAGCTTGGGGCCGCAGAAAGTTTCTCCCCTTTCTCGGGCTCCTGCCAGGCCCTTGGCTTTCAGAGCCAGGCCCGATTTCTAGATAACATTTAAGTTTGCAGAAAAGGGGATGCCAAGTCACGGTGGTCACGGCTGTGGGATGCAGCCTCTGAGATTTGTATTAATTTTTGTGAGCCGGGGAAAGGCCTTGCTGCTTTCTCCGCCAGGACTGATGTGTCTTCCCAAGATGAAAGTGCCTGGTAAGGGCGAGGGGCCTCCCTGGGAAGGTCATGAGCATGTAAGGTAATGGGGCCTAGACTGTGACTTTTGGCACGTTTATGAGTGACATCCCCCGGGAGGGCAAGGATAACCATTTGACCTGGTCTGTCATATTCAGGAATAGACTTCAGTTTAGTTGTGGTATTTTCTCCAAAAGAGATTTGTGTATATAGCCCTAGATAGTCTTGTCAAGATTAAACCCAATTTAAACTGTTAACTATAAAATATTTTAGAATTTTGTCTCATTCTAGAATGGCTTTATTCGAAACAAAAAAAAAGGAAGAGTCCCAAGTTTCGTCTCAGTGAAACCTGCCAGTTCAACACTATGATTTATTTTTCTTTTTTTCTTTAATTTTTTTTTTTTTTAAGAGTAGGGTCTTGCTCTGTCGCTGGGTTTACAGGCATAAGCCACCAATCCCAAATCCCGGGGCTATGATTTTTGAAATCATGTTCGTGAGAAGGCAGAGCACATGTGTTGAGAGTCAGACTTTAAACCTGGGTTCAAATCATTAGTGCTTAATCATTGTAAAGCAGTTAGGAGGTTGCGTTCAACATAGCAATTATCAAAGAATGAATGTATAACTTTAAAGACCAATGATATTTTAAACTTTTTTTTTTTTTTGAGAACGGAGTCTCACTCCGTTGCCCAGGCTGGAGTGCAATGGCACGATCTCAGCTCACTGCAACCTCCGCCTCCTGGATTCAAGTGATTCTCCTGCCTCAGCCTCCCCAGTAGCTGGGATTATAGGCATGCGCCACCACGCCCGGCTAATTTTGTATTTTTAGTATAGGCGGGGTTTCTCCATGTTGGTCAGGCTGGTCTCAAACTCCCGACCTCAGGTGATCCGCCCACCCAAAGTGGTGATCGTCCTCCCAAAGCACTGGGATTACAGGCATGAGCCACCGCGCCTGGCCGAACTTTTTAAATTTATTTATTACTATTTTTTGAGACAGGGTCTCCCTCTGTTGCCCAGGCTGGAGTGCTGTCTCAGCTCACTGCAACCTCCGCTTCCCATGTTTGACCAATTCTGCCTCAGCCTCCTGAGTAGCTGGGACTGCAGGCGCCCACCACCACGCCTGGCTAATTTTTGTATTTTTAGTAGAGATGGGGTTTCATCATGTTGGCCAGGCTGGTCTTGAACTCCTGGCCTCAAGCGGTGCTAGGCCAAAGTGCTAGGATTACAGGTGTGAGCCACTGCACCCAGTGCCCCCAAAGTGCTAGGATTACAGGTGTGAGCCACTGCACTCAGCCTTAAACATTTTTTTAATTAAAGCAACCTAAGGTAAAATTTTTTAACCAAATTTAACCCATTCCCAATCAGATTGAATAAATGCCTAGCAGCTTATGTGTTGTGCTAAAACACGATATATTATCTGCCAATAAAAAACAGTATTTTGTATTTATATAGTTTTATTACCAAGAAGCTTACTCAGCTTTATGATTTCCCCTTTGTAATCTGATTAACCTTCATAGTATCTTGAAGTAATGTATAGTGTAGCAATCAGACACTTAGGTAGTGACTTCGTGAGCTCTGACAATGAGTCAATATAATGCAAGAGGCTATGTATGAAGTCCAACCTGGGTGCGTCCACACCACACCAAGAGGACAAGTTAAAATTACCATATGGCCAAAAATTAATATTTTCTGACTTATTTTTGTTTACCATTCCAACCATAGTACTGTATAAAATGTTTGCTATTCATTATAGACCCAGGAATGGAATATTCCTAATATTAAAACAAAAATTTCAACAGCTATAGAAAATGAAAGTGAGTGTGAGATAGAGATACTGGACATAATGTTCTATAGGTTTTAAAAGACTTAAGTAGAAGAAATGGAAACAATGTCTTTACTTCTTGGCAGTGGAGTGGTAACAGCTAATGGCTCTTTCTACCTGGCATGCAGCTTCCTGTAACGACTATTATTAATAGAGCCAGGCTGATCGTGAGGCGCCAGAAAAGGTGTATGGTGGAATTTAACTACAATGGCTTGTATTGCCTGGATATACCCTTTGGTATGCCTATTTTACTAGAAATGTTTGAAAATAGGAAAAAGCTCACTCAAAAGATAAGCTGCCAGTGGGACTTGAAGAGGCTCCCATTACATTCCTCTTCCCTGGAGATGTTTTATTCCCCTCCTCTCCTCCAGTGTTCAGTCTCATGCTCAGCATTGCAAGGGTTACAAAGGTGACTACTTAAGACACAGAGTTTGCCCTTGAAGAACTTGCAGGATAACAAGGGCCATAAGAAAGTATTAAGTGTCGGCTGGGTTCGGTGGCTCACGCCTGTAATCCAGCACTTTGGGAGGCCGAGGCGGGCGGATCACGAGGTCAGCTGATCAAGACCATCCTGGCTAACACGGTGAAATCCTGTCTACTAAAAATACAAAAAATTAGCTGGTCGTGGTGGCGGGGACCTATAGTCCAAGCTACTCGAGAGGTTGAGGCAGGAGAATCGTTTGAACCTGAGAGGCAGAGCTTGCAGTGAGCCGAGATCACGCCACTGCACTCCAGCCTGGGTGACGGAGCAAGACTCAGTCTCAAAAAAAGAAAAGAAAAAAAAAACAACTTCCCAGCACTTGGGAGGCCGAGGTAGGTGGATCACCTGAGGTCAGGAGTTTGAGAGCAGCCTGGGCAACATAGTGAAAACTTGTCTCTACTAATAACACAAAAATTAGCCGAGTGTGGTGGTGGGCACCTGTAATCCCAGCTACTTGGGAAGCTGAGGCAGGAGAATCGCTTGCACCTGGGAGCAAGAGATTGGGCCACTGCACTCCAGCCTGCACAACAGAGGGAGACTCTGTCTCAAAAAAAAAAAAAAAAAAAAAGTCCGGGCACGGTGGATCACGCCTATAATCCCAGCACTTTGGGGGGCCGAGGCAGATGGGTCATGAGGTCAGGAGATCGAGACCATCCTGGCTAACAAGGTGAAATCCCGTCTCTACTAAAAATACAAAAAATTAGCATTAAGTATCCTGAGAGAAGACCAGATAAAATGCTATGATTCAGCATTATTCCTAAAATGGGTACCAGTTGAGCAATACCTGCCAACTCTTAATTTCTGCTTAAATGCCCAACTGCATAGTACATGCTGTTAAATTGAGGGGATAGGTGATATCATGTAAACCCATGTCTTGTCCCTGCCAGCAAGGAAATTGTGCTCTGTGACTTGACTTGGAAAGTATGTAACTAAGACTGAGGAGAATAAATTGATGTTTTCACCTCTCGTATTTGCTTCTGAAGCAGAAAGTTTACTAAGCTAAATCCTGAACTAGGAATTAGTAATACTAGTAATAGCTAATTGTTAATATATATACAGCTCTTATAACAGTTTCTGGCATAATTACTATACAAATATTATTTCTTATTCTTATTGGGTGCTTACTGTATGCCAGGCAATGTTTTTAACCTCTTTATGAGTTTTCACAAACCCCCTAGAAGTACTTGTATTATCCCCATGAAGAAACAGGTCGAGAGAGTTTAAGTAATCTGCTCAAGGTCAGAAAGTGAACAAATGACAGGTCAGGCTTCAAACACAGACAGCCCATGTGCTTGAACAGTGCTACTGGCCTCCCAGTACTTACTGAGGCCTACTCCTATAAAATTCTATTGACTCCCTAAAGTGATGGTGTAGGGAATGCTAACTGATGATAAAGAAAATATGAAACACTGACAAATCATTTAGTGAGCATTTCATTAGTTAGTTGGCTTCCTCTTCTGTGACCTTGAATTGAAACTCTACTGCAAACTAACTGGTTAGAGAAAAATTTTATTTGCAAATAGTTTTAAAAGTTTCAAAGTAGGCCGGGCGCAGTGGCTCACGCCTGTAATCCCAGCACTTTGGGAGGCTGAGGCGGGCGGATCACAAGGTCAGGAGATCGAGACCATCCTGGCTAACAAGGTGAAACCCCGTCTCTACTAAAAATACAAAAAATTACCCGCGTGGTGGCAGGTGCCTGTAGTCCCAGCTACTCAGGAGGCTGAGGCAGGAGAACGGTGTGAACCTGGGAGGTGGAGCTTGCAGCGAGCTGAGGCTGTGCAGCTGCACTCCAGCCTGGGCGACAGAGTGAGACTCCGTCTCAAAAAAAAGTTTGAAAGTAAAACCACCCATTTTTTTTCTTTTTCTTTGTATAAAGTAAAGGAATAAAGAAGGGCTACTCCATAAGCAGAGCAGCCTCTTTTTTTCCTTAAAAGAAAAATAGCTGGCCAGGTGCAGTGGCTCATGCCTGTAATTCCAACTCTTTGAGAGGCTGCGGCAGGTGGATTGCCTGAGCTCGGGAGTTTCAGACCAGCCTCGGCAACATAGTGAAACCCTGTCTCTACCAAAAATACAGAAAATTAGCCAGACGTAGTGGCACCTGCCTGCAGTCCCAGCTACTCAGGAAGCTGAGGTGGGAGAATCACCTGAGCCCAGGATGGAGGTTACAGTGAGCCCAGATAGCACCACTGAACTCCAAACTGGGTGACAGAGTGAGAGTCCATCTCAAAAAAAAAAAAGAAGCTGCATTAATTTTTTTTAAAAGTAATTTTATATTAAGTTTCTACGTAATTTAATTAAACTTGGAACTAAACAATGGATATCAAAATAATGAGGGTTTTTTTGGTATGGTTTATTTATTTATTTTTTTGAGATGTAGTCTTGTTCTGTTACCCAGGCTGGAGTGCACTGGTGCAACCTCGGCTCACTGCAACCTCTGCTGCCTGCTAAAGTGATTCTCCTGCCTTAGCCTCCTGAGTAGCTGGGATTACAGGCGCCCACCACCACGCCTGGCTAACTTTTTGTTTTTTTGAGACAAGGTCTCGCATTGTTGCCCAGGCTGGAGTGCAATGACACGATCTTGGCTCACTGCAACTTCCACCTCCCGGGTTCAAGCGATTCTCCTGCCTCAGCCTCCCGAGTATCTGGGATTACAGGCATGCGCCACCACCCCCATATAATTTTTTTCTTTTTCTATTTCTTTTTTTTTTTTCTTTTTTTTTGAGAAGGAGTCTCACTGTCTTGCCAGGCTGGAGTGCAGTGGCGCCATCTCGACTCACCGCAACCTCCGACTCCCTGATTCAAGCAGTTCTCCTGCCTCAGCCTCCCTCCCAAGTAGCTGGGATTATAGGCACGTGACATCACGCCCACCTAATTTTTGTATTTTTAGTAGAGATGGGGTTTTACCATGTAGGTTTTTGTATTTTAGTAGAGACAGGGTTTCACTATGTTGGCCAGGCTGGTCTCAAACTCCTGACCTCAGGTGATCTGCCCACCTCGGCCTCCCAAAGTGCTGGGATTACAGGCGTGAGCCACCGCATCTGGCCATAATTTTTGTATTTTTAGTAAAGACAGGGTTTCACCATGTTGGCCAGGCTGGTCTTAAACTCCTGACCTCAGGTGATCCATCCTCCTCCACCTTCCAAAGTGCTGGGATTATAGGCGTAAGACACTGCGCCCAGCCTCATTTAACTCCTAACAAAAGCCTCTGTGGCCTGGCGCTGATGACTCACACACACACAAAAAAGAAATCCTGATTCTAGTACTTTCTAGCCATTTGTCTAGAGTTGGAGACCAGCCTGGCCAACATGGGGAAACCCCGTCTCTATTAAAAATACAAAAATTAGCCGGGTGTGGCTGGCGCCTGTAATCCCAGCTACTCAGGAGGCTGAGGCAGGAGAATCAGAGCGGGAGGTTGCAGTGAGCTGAGATCGCTCCATTGCACTCCAGCCTGGGAGACAAGAGTGAGACTCCATCTCAAAAATAGTAATAATAATAATAATAATAATAATAACAAATTTGTAAAGATTAAGTTGAAAAAGAACTACTATATAATTGAGTGAATTAGAAGCTAAGATCCAGAAAAGTATTTAGTCTAATCTCAGATATTTAGCCTAATCCATTCATTTTAAATGAAAAAAGGAGACTTACAGAGTTGCAAAGAGTTCCTACAAATCCCAAAAAGAGCAAATGTTTTGAACGTGATCTAAACTAGGGTGCCAGCCACATCTCATAAGGGGCTTAATGCCTGATTAATGCAATTAATTGCAGTGATGATAAGAAAAGGAGAGCCTAGGTTTTAATACTACCCATTTGTTCATTGAGTCTCTAGCCCCTTTCTTTAAAAATTAACACAAATGGCCATTCTAGTTTATAAATTAGTCACTCGTGAGTTTGGCAAGGATGAATCAATAAATACGTCAGTAGTTTTCAATCTTGAGAAATGTGCTCAGACCTCAATTTATGAAATATTAACTTAGACTCTAAATTTTTATACTATAAAAATATCTTTCATGGCCGGGCACGGTGGCTCACGCCTGTAATCCCAGCACTTTGGGAGGCCGAGGTGGGCGGATCACGAGGTCAGGAGATTCAGACCATCCTGGCTAACACGGTGAAACCCCGTCTCTACTAAAAATACAAAAAATTAGCCGGGCGTGGTGGCGGGCGCCTGTAGTCCCAGCTACTCAGGAGGCTGAGGCAGGAGAATGGCGTGAACCCAGGAGGCGGAGTTTGCAGTGAGCCGAGATCGTGCCATTGCACTCCAGCCTGGGCGACAGAGTGAGACTCCATCTAAATATATATATATATATCTATATATATATATATATAGATATATCTTTCAATTATTAATTGTAACTACAAAAGAAAACATTTGTGTTTATACTTGGCCAAAGAATGGCTTTTAGATAATTAAAGTATTGCAGATACAGTTAACGTTCCCTTCAACCACCCTCACCCCAAGTCCTACTTATTTTCCTTCCTCCCAATAGCATAAAAATGGTATAAACTGGGCACAGGTATGTGCCTGTAGTCCCAGCTACTCAGAAGGCTGAGGTGGAAGGACCCTTGAACTCAGGAGTTTAAGAGCAGCTTGGGCAACATAGCAAGACCCTGTCTCAAAAAAATTAAGTATATCGTTCTAGTCCATTTTAAAATATTATTTTTAAGATTTTATTTATTTATTTATTTTGAGATGGAGTCCTGCTCTGTTGCCCAGGCTGGAGTGCAATGGTGCCATCTTGGCTCAATGCAACCTCCGCCTTCTGGGTTCAAGTGATTCTCCTGCCTCAGCCTCCCAAGTAGCTGGGATTACAGGTGCACACCACCACGCCCAGCTAATTTTTGTAGTTTTAGTAGAGATGGGGTTTCACCTTGTTGGTCAGGCTGGGCTTGAACTCCTGACCTCAGGTGATCCACCTGCCTTGGCCTCCCAAAGTGCTGTCATTACAGGCCTGACCCACCATGCCCAGCCTTAAATATTATTTTTTAAAAAGTATGGCTTCCCTAGGCACACTGCTTTTAGAGTACCCCTGCTCCACAAGGAGCAGTTAAAAAATGTGTGTATACATTAACATATGTATGTGTATGTGTATACATGTGATATATATTCCAAACCATACATGCACCCTTAACATTTTTACATAAATAGTATTGTGTCTATTTGCTTGTGTTCCTGTACAAGAATGTAAGATATGTGAAGCAGAGACTTTATCTTGCTTTGTCTGTTTTCTGCTGTACTGCTAGCTCCTAGAACAGCTCCTGACACATGGTAAGCACCCAAGTATTTGTTGAATAAGTAAATATCAATCCGTAACTTGCTTTTTAAATTTGATATTGTGTCTCTAAGATCTATCTGCGTGTGTGTGTGTGTGTATATATATATATGTTCATTCTCATCAAGTTCATTACTTTATGCTGCTTTATATTATAAATAAACTATGTTCTATTTGTTCATTCACCTATTAGAGGATATTTACATTATTTTCACTCCTTTGCTATCATAAACCCTTACATGCAAATTTGCAAATTTTTTCAGGCCCATGCAGAATCATTTCTCTAGAGTATATATGCCCCAGAAGGTGAATGTTGAGCAATGAAGGGTGATATTTTAAATTTCACTGGTTGCTTGTCATATTACTCTCAAAAGTGGCCATAGCTAATTATACTCTCAGTAGCAGTGGATGAAGGCTTCATGTTTCTTACACCCTTGCCAGAACTTTATACTGTGAGATTTTAAAATTTGTTTGCCAATCTCATGGGTGAAACATGGTGTCTCTTTTTATTTAAATTTTTATTCAGGCTGGGCGCAGTGGCTCATGCCTGTAATCCCACCACTTTGGGAGGCCAAAGCGAGTGGATCACGAAGTCAGGAGATTGAGACCATCCTGGCCAACGTGGCGAAACCCCATCTCTACTAAAAATACAAAAAATTAGCTGGGCATGGTGGGGAGCACCTGTAGTCCCAGCTACTCAGGAGGCTGAGGCAGGAGAATCGCTTGAACCTGGGAGCGGAGGTTGCAGTGAGCCAAGATTGTGCCACTGCACTCCACCCTGAGCGAGACTCTGTCTCAAAAAAAAAAAAAAAAAATTTTATTCAGATAACTGTAGATTTCATATGTAGTCGAAAGAAATAATACGGAGAACTTGCATACCGTTAACCCAGATCCTACTGATGATAATACTTTGCAAAAGTATAGTCACAACCAGAATATCAAAATTGGCACAGTCCACCAATTTTGTACAAGTTTCCCTAGTTTTACTCAGACTCATTTTATGTGTGTGTGAATGCATTTAATTATATATAATTTTATGTCATATGTAGGTCCATGTATCCACCTCCACACTCAAGATACAGAACAGTTAAAACACAAGGATCTTCCTGTCGTGCAAAATCTCAGCTCACTGCAACCTCCACCTGCTGGGTTCAAGCAATTCTTGTGCCTCAGCCTCCCAAGTAGCTGGGACTACAGGGATGCATCACCACACCTGGCTAATTTTTGTATTTTTAGTAAAGACGGGGTTTTACCATGTTGGCCAGGCTGGTCTGGAACTCCTGGCCTCAAGTGATCAGCCTGCCTCGACCTCCCAAAGTACTGGGATTACTGGTGTGAGCCACTGCACCTGGCCTCCCCCTTCTTTTTAACCTCTGTTCTTCATTTGCAAGATTTTATCCTTTCAGGCTGGGCAAGGTGGCTCATGCCTGTAATCCTAGCACTTTGGGAGGCTAAGGCAGGCAGATCACTTGAGGTCAGGAGTTCGAAACCAGCCTGGCCAACATGGTGAAACCGCGTCTCTACTAAAAAAAAAAAAAAAAAGAAATACAAAAAATTAGACCAGGCGCGGTGGCTCACGCCTATAATCCCAGCACTTTGGGAGGCCAAGGCAGGCAGATCACGAGGTCAGGAGTTCGAGACCAGCCTGGCCAATGTGGTGAAACCCCGTCTCAACTAAAAATACAAAAATTAGCCAGGTGCAGTGGCGCGTGCCTGTAGTCCCAGATACTAGGGAGGCTGAGGCAGGAGAATTGCTTGAACCCAGGAGGTAGAGGTTACAGTGAGCCGAGATTGCACCACTGCACTCCAGCCTGGATGACAGGGAGAGACTCCATCTAAAAAAAATTAGCCAGGCGTGGTGGTGGGCACCTGTAATCCCAGCTACTTGGGATGCTGAGGCAGGAGAATCGCTTGAACCCAGGAGGCAGAGGTTTCAGTGAGCTGATATCGCACCACTGCACCCCTGCCTGGGTGATAGAGCAAGACTTCATCTCAAAAAAAAAAAAAAAAAGATTTTATCCTTTCAAAAATGTTGTATTCAATATTGTGTGTGGAAACTTAAAAAGAAAAAAAATAAAAATTAAACAAAATGTTGTATAAAAGGAACCATGTAGTATGTAACCGTTAGAGATTGGCTTTTTTCACTCAGCATATTCAGCACCAAGTTGTTGCATGTATCAGTAATCCAAGGCCGGGCACAGTGGCTCACACCTTTAATCCTAGCACTTTGGGAGGCCGAGGCAGGCGGATCACTGAGGCCAGGAGTTTGAGACTAGCCTGGACAACATGGTGAAACCCTGTCTCTACTAAAAATACAAGAAGTAGGCCGGGCGCGGTGGCTCACGCCTATAATCCCAGCACTTTGGGAGGCAGAGGCAGGTGGATTACAGGGTCAGGAGTTCAAGACCAGGCTGGCCAAGATGGTGAAACCCCCGTCTCTACTAAAAATATAAAAATTAGCCGGGCGTGGTGGCACACTCCTATAATCCCAGCTACTTGGGAAGCTAAGGCAAAGAACTGCTTAAACCTGGGAGGCGGAGGTTTCAGTGAGCTGAGATTGCACTACTGCACTCCAGCCTGGGTGACAGAGCGAGACTCCATCTCAAAAAATATATATATACAAAAATTAGCTGGACGTGATGGTGCATGCCTATAGTCACAGCTACTTGGAAGGCTGAGGCAGGCACATTGCTTGAACCTAGGAGGCAGAGGTTGCAGTGAGCCAAGACTGCACCAGTGCACTCTAGCCTGGGTGATAGAACGAGACTCCATCTCAAAAAAAAAACCAAGAAAAACAAAAAAAAATCCCTTTTATTGTTGGTATTCTATGGTATGGATGGACCACAGTCTGTTCAACCATCACTCATTGAAGGACCTATGTTTATTTCCAAGTTTAGGCTATTACAAATAAAGCTGCTGTTAACATTTATGTATAGGTTTTTTGTGCGAACATTAATTTCCATTTGGTGTCTCATTTTTTTCAATTAGCGTTTCCCAGATTACCAGTGGGGTTGAATATCTCTTCATATATTTGTAGACTATTCAGGTTTCCTCTTTGCTATTTTGCTTATTTCTTCTGTTGGGTTGTCTTTTTCTTACTACTTTGTAAGGGTTCTTTTTTTTTTAAGACGGAGTTTTGTGCAATCTCGGCTCACTGCAACCTCCGCCTCCCGGGTTCAAGCGATTCTCCTGCCTCAGCCTCCTGAGTATCTGGGATTACAGGCATGCACTACCATGCCCGGCTAATTTTGTATTTTTAGTGGAGACGGGGTTTCTCTATGTTGGTCAGGCTGGTCTTGAACTCCTGACCTGAGGTGATCCACCTGCCTCAGCCTCCCAAAGTGTTGGGATTACAGGCATGAGCCACCGCGCCCAGCCTAAAAGTTCTTTATATGTTCTGCATAGCAATCTTTTGTCAGTTATGTGAAACTTTGTGTTGACATTTTGGTGGTCATTGTTTCTCAACGTGCTGTAAAGTTTAGGAATAGATGAATGATTTCTGAAACTTGAATTTGGATCACTGATGAAGTGACCAAGGGGTTTCATTTGGGGCTGCCCACCTTGTGGAGCTTTGGGCCTGCTGCACCTTACATGTAGCAGTGTTTTCTTTGCATCCTTGCATGCCAGCGATACACTTTAATTGGTGGCACGTTAGGTTCTAGGCACACCATATCAAAACATCTACCTGCTTGAGGGCAGATGTCATGAGCACAGATCCTTTGCCTCGTTTTTTTGGAACATTCAGATACATTTATTGCATTGTAAAACCAGCCGTGTTTTCTGGCATTTTGACCAGCCCTCGGAAACTGCTGACATCATGATGTACTCCTTGCCTGGTGTTTCCATTTTCCCCAGCACTGCAGCTAGAATTTAGAATCCTGACTCACCCTTCAGCCAGCCACAGAGCATGCTGATTATTCTGGTACAGTCAGTGCTCACGAAGTGACTTTGCAAGGGGAAATAGCTTTTGGACAAGTCAAAGCCAGTGCAATTTCAGATAATAGCCCAGCTTTTCTTTTCTAACGTTCTCATCTGCTCAGATGCTGCTGCTTTCTCCCCTGATGGGAAGTGGAAGCCATGATTCTGCAGTCCTGGCCATAAAGCTGTGAATTGTACTAGCTGGCACAGCCAGTACTGCCCTACTGAGTTCAGTGAACTGTCCTTCTGATCTACACTGAGAGAGCCTGGCTGTGGTGCAATGCTCACAGTGAAGCCGTCTGCATAGCTGAGCTAACAATTCAAACTTCAGCTCTCATTTCAATAAATTACCTTATAAAACACTCACTGACCAAGATTACCTTGAGTAGCTTATTTATATGAATTTTGCAGTTACCCCAAATTAGCCATGGAGAAACTGATATACAATGTTTCTTATAATTTCCCCTCAAACCATAGCAAAAACATGAAGGGAAGTACTAGGATTTCTGGGAATATGGAATTTATATCTATGCCCCACAAACAATGTTAAAGAAAACGGGCTTTGGATATTTTCAAAGGCCTGTGGTGAGGATTAAATAAGGCATAATATATGAAAATGTTTTGTGAATTCCAAAATGTTTTACCAAGATAAAAGATTTTTAAAATCAGTTTCTGTCAGTTTCATACATCCAATCCTGAAATCAAGTCTACACTGATTTATTACATATAAGGAAATATTTTTGACGTGAATAGGCAATCATAGAATTTCTATTGTATTCGAATAATGATTGAAAGTAATTTTCTTTTTGAGATTTTGACTTCCCCATTTGAGGTAATATTCTCAAGGGACTAAATGTTACTGATGTTGAAGATTTATCCCAAATGAGGTTTGCTTTGGGTGACAGAATTCAAAGCTAGCTCTGAACAAAACTGAAATGGTGGCTAATACGATCCTTTCTGTGCCTCCCTTTTCTTTCCTTTTGGATACTTCAAATACACAGCTAGTTTCCTTGGGACATCCTAGGGCAGTCAGGGTCATTTCCTTCTCTCTCCAAGACTGACCTGCCACAATCCATCAGGGACTATGATTTTGTTGTAAATATTTAGAAAGATGGTGCACAACAATAGATTTGGCAAAAACTGAGCTGATGGCATGCAAGTGTAGCCAAGTGTGGGAATCCATACTTGGAATAATCTAAAGGAATGTTTAACGGTGGTAAAAGAGAAGTGCAGGAGATGGGGCAGCATTTTCAGGGCCTCTCACCTAATGAAATATTGGCATCTTACAGGCTTGAGGGTCACTTGTCTGATGATTTGTGTGCTAATTCTGTTGGAAGAGAAGATTCTCAAGAAATACACTATTGCCATTAAAAGTAAAACACAAGATTGTTTCCTCCCTTGAATATAGCAAGAACTCTGTAGAGTAATCAATGCTTTGGCCAGATATCCTTGAGAATTAATGTTTTTTAGATTGCAGGGAGAAGAAAAGAGGACAGAAACAAGTTTCTGTTTCATATTCCTTCTGTGTGGTGTTAGAGCAGAAGAACCCTAGGGAGTGCAGGGCTGGGGCCTGGGACATGTGAATGTCTGCACATTGGCAGTTCAGCAAGCTTTTCCTGTTGGCCTGCTATTCCCAGGAGACTGTCTATAGGGCTGCTTGGCAGCAGGTGAGGAAGGTGTGTATGTCTGAAAAATTCAGGATAGACAGACAACATCCCAAGTTTTGAACAACAATCCAACTGTGTGTGTGTGTGTGTGTATGCACCCGCATGTTCACAGCTGCACACAGCACCTTGCACTTCCTTTATTAATAGAAAACTGGAAGAATGATGCAGCAGGATTAAGCCCCAGGGTATTGACTGGGACTCGGGGAGACCTAAGGCACAACTAAAGGGTGGAATTTTTCTTTAATTTCTGTCTCTTTTTTCACATCTCCCTTTCCCCTTCCTTCCTGTTATCTTTCCAGTACTCATAGGTTGTGGTCTCAGCTGAATAAGAACCAGTAAATAACTTCCCATTGAGAAGTTAGGGGACATTGGCCAAGGTCTTAGCATTTCCAGGGTTTCTTCCAAGGGTCTTTCTTGAAGGCCACATTAAATCTCTTGTGGTAGATTTTCTAGAGAAGCCAAGGAGCAGTCTCCTTGAGTTTCCTCACATCAGACCTATAGACCCTTACTCACTTTCTCCTAATACCTACTTTGATATATTTCTTTTTTTCTTTTTTCTTTTTGAGAAGGGTCTCACTTTATCACCCAGGCTGGAGTGGTGCAGTGGCACGATCTTGACTCACTGCAACCTCTACCTCCTGGGTTTAAGTAATTCTCCTGCCTCAGCCTCCCAAGTAGCTGGAATTACAGGCACCCACAACCATGCCCAGCTAATTTTGTTGTTGTTGTTGTTTTGAGACAGAGTTTCGCTCTGTCTCCCAGGCTGGAATGCAGTGGCGTGATCACAGCTCACTGCAACCTCTGCCTCCCAGGTTCAAGTGATTCTCCTGCCTCAGCCTCCTGAGTAGCTGGGACTACAGGTGCCCGCCACCATGCCTGGCTAATTTTTGTACTTTTAGTAGAGGCAGGGTTTCACCATGTTGGCCAGGCTGGTCTCGAACTCCTGACCTCAAGTGATCCGCCCGCCTCGGCCTCCCAAAGTGCTGGGATTACAGGAGTGAGCCCCTGTGCCAAGCAATCTATTTCTATGTGAAGGAGAATACACTGGGTTGTTACACAGGGGCATAAAAGGTGAAATTATATCTTAGGATTCACAGTAGAGAGGAAAAAAAGCTAACTCTGCCAACTAAAATTATAGAAGGTCTTGAAAACAAATCTCATCATTTCATGAAAACAAATCTCATCATTTCATTATATGTTTCTAAATTGCAGGCTGGGTGCAGTGGCTCACGCCTGTAATCCCAGCACTTTGGGAGGCTGAGGTAAGATCACTTGAGGCCAGGAGTTTTGAGACTAGACTGGGCAACAAAGTGAGACCCCTGTCTCTACAAAAAAATTAAAAAATAAAAATTAGCCGAGTGTGGTGGCACATACCTAGAGTACTCTAGCCTGGGTGACAGAGCAAGACTGTCCCTAAAATAAAATAAATTAAGAGCAGACTCTACAGGCTCAGAGTAGACAAGGTCCTGGTATCTAATAGCGTACTTGGCACATGGGCCTTCAATGAACTATTTTTTTTTTTTTTTAGATGGAGTCTCGCTCTGTTGCCCAGGCTGGAGCACAGTAGTGCAATCTCGGCTCACTAAAAGCTCCGCCTCCCGGGTTCATGCCATTCTCCTGCCTCAGCCTCCCGAGTAGCTGGGACTACAGGCACCCGCCACCACGCCTGGCTAATTTTTTTTTTCAGTGGAGACGGCATTTCACCGTGTTAGCCAGGATTGTTTCGATCTCCTGACCTCGTGATCCGCCCACCTTGGCCTCCCAAAGTGCTGGGATTACAGACGTGAGCCACCGCGCCCAGCCAATGAACTATTATTGAATGAATACCTCATTTTCCCTCTTGGCATCACACCTGAGATTGCCTGATTTGTACGTTGTCCTCAGAGCCAGCATTTATTACATTGCATTTGAGAGTCGCTAAGACAAGGCATTTTCCACACGCTTTTCCTGTTTTTTAAGTACCTTCCAACCTTGATTTGCTGATAACAGCAGTTGGCTTGTATTTTATGCTGGCCTTTGCAATGATACAGCAAATGGAATCTGGAATCTCCGGAATCGATGTCAATATGAATAGTTTCTAAGTGGAACTGCCATACAATGAGGAAGTTATCACTTACCCACAAGAGGTCTGTGACTTTGGAATCAAGTATATATAAGAAGTACTTTTTACACTGTAATGTGCTACTCAAATGTTTTGTTGTTATTATTATATCAGAAAACAACCCACAGGACCTTATAAATAATAATGATTCCAGTCATGTTCATCCTATGTGACAAAGCAATGGTTCTCAACATTTTTGGTCAGCTAATCACTTTGGCAAAATATCTCAAAACTTCGTATCTCAATTACCCATACTACTCAGTCCAAGAGTTTTGCCAGAATAAATAGGAAGAGTAGAGCTACTTTTAATTTCTGGTTTCCATTAGCCTTCTGCTGGGAAAGAGAAAAGAGATAGAGTAGAAAAGAGTTTCAAGTACAAGGGTCCATGACCTCCAAAGTCAACTACGTTGAGATTCTTGATGGTGAAGCAACAAGACAAGAAGCCAGGCTAAACATTGGCGACCCAGAAAAGGAGATAGAAAGGCCAGAGAATGCAAGACCTGCCACCCCGTGCCTGCTTTCACCTCCTCATCTGTACTTGCTGGTGTTTCTTTTTTTTTTTTTTTTTTGAGATGGAGTCTCGCATTGTCGCCCAGGCTGAAGTGCACTGGTGTGATCTCGGCTCACTGCAAGCTCCGCCTCCTGGGTTCACGCCATTCTCCTGCCTCAGCCTCCCGAGTAGCTGGGACTACAGGCATGAGCCACCACGCCTGGCTAATTTTTGTACTTTTAGTAGAGGCAGGGTTTCACCATGTTGGCCAGGCTGGTCTCGAACTCCTGACCTCAAGTGATCCGCCCGCCTCGGCCTCCCAAAGTGCTGGGATTACAGGCATGAGCCACCGTGCCCGGCCACTTGCTGGTGATTCTGAAGGATCTGTCCTTTGCGGTGTCCCTCCTTGCTCTCCAGAATCTTCGCTTCAACTCCCATCTAAGATGAAAGGAGCCAACTAAGCTCACTTCGGGGCAGCTGGTCATTGCCTTTAGGGAACACGAGATTAGCGTTGCCAGATATCTGACCTTTTGGCAGAAGTTAAAATTCTTGATATTTTTGAGAATCTTCTAATTTTCAACTGTTGGCAACTTATTTAAAAGATTGTTCTGGCCAAATGAAACCCATTAGCAGGATGGATTTTGCCCACAGACCACTGGTGACTGATGACACATTTTCAAGCTTTACCCCTCACGTCTTTCTCTCTCGTTTTTTTTTTTTTGTTTGTTTGTTTGTTTTAAGATGGAGTTTCACTCTTGTTGCTCAGGCTGGAGTGCAATGGCACAATCTCGGGTCACTGCAAACTCCGCCTCCCAGGATCAAGCAATTCTCCTGCCTCAGCCTCCCAAATAGCTGGGATTACAGGCATGTGCCACCACGCCCAGCTAATTTTGTATTTTTTTTTTTTAGTAGAGATGGGGTTTCACCATGTTGGCCAGGCTGGTTTCTAACTCCTGACCTCAGATAATCCACCCGCTTTGGCCTCCCAAAGTGCTGGGATTACAGGTGTGAGCCACCACACCCAGCCCTCACCTCCTTTTTGAATTTGGGACTTGTATCTTTACTTAAAATTTGGATAGATTAAACCGGGCATTTCCACACACTGTTCAAATACAACTCATTTAAACTACAATGTACTTTACCAAATATACAAACAAGCAAACAAAACCAGCTTATCATTTTAAAGTCTGTGTCAGCCACCACTCATCTGTTAGTCCAGATTAGAAGCCTTGGAGTCATCTGTGGTCCTTCTCTCTACTTTGTCTCTCACCTGCAATTCCTTCCTTAAGCACCAAATGCCAGGTATTAAGCTAAACACTGAGGATACAAAGCTTAGCCAGTGGTGGTGTGGGTGCTTGTACTCCCAGCTTACTTAGGAGGCCAAGGCAGGAGGATTGCTTGAGCCCAACAGGTCAAGTCTGCAGTGACCCATGATCGTGCCACTGCACTCCAGCCTGGACAACAGAGTGAAACCCTGTCTCTAAAAAGTAAAATATAAAAATAAAACTAAAGTTGAAAAGACAGCCCAGGCCAGGCTCTGCAGCTGTTAATGTCTATGGGTAGAAGGCAACAAGTATTTACAAAACAGTATTTACCAAGTATTATAACAGACATATACAAAATGCCACATGATCTTGTTTAATCCACACAATAATCTTGTGAAATAGTGTCTTTTTAATAACAGCTTTATTGAGATATAATTGACATACCATAAAAGCCACCCTTTTAAAATGTACAATTCAGTAGGTTTTAGTACATTCATAGTGCCATGACATCAAATTAGTTGTTATCACTAATTCCAGAACATTGGGTTTTTTAAAAATTTTGATAGAGATGAAGTTTCACTGTGTTGCTCAGGCTGGTCTCAAACTCCTGAGTAAAGTGATGCAAAGTGCCTTGGCCTCCCAAAGTGCTGAGATTACAGGTGTGAGCCATGGTGGCCAGCCCAGAACATTGTTTTGAGCAGTTTTAAGTTCATAGCAAAATTGAGCAGAAAGTACAGAGTTCCCATTCATTCCCTGCCCCCACACATGCATAAACAAGGATCAGCATCTCCACTAGAGTGATAGATTTGTTACAATCAATGAACTTTCACTGATTCATCATTACCCCCAAAAGTTCATAATTTACATTAGGGTTCACTCTTGGTGCCATACATTATATGGGTTTGGACAAAAGTATAACGATATGTATCCACTTTTGTAGTATCATACAGAGTGGTTGTCACTGCCCCCAAAATCTCTGTGCTCTGCCTATTCATCACTCTCTCCTAATCCTTGGCAACCTGGACTTCTCCGTATTTTTGCTTTTCCAGACTGTTATGTACAGTATTTGGAATCACACAGTATGTAGCCTTTTCAGATTGGCATCTTTCACTTAGTGATACGCGTTTATGGGTCCTCCATGTCTTTTCATGTCTTGATAGTTCATTTTTTAGTGCTGAATGCTATTCCATTGTCTGAATGTACTACAGTTTATCCATTCACCTGCTGAAGGACATCTTGGTGGCTTCCAAGTTTTGACAATCATGAATAAAGCTGGTATAAGCATCTGTGTGCAGGTTTTTTGTGGACATATTTTCAGTTCATTTGGTTAAATAACCACAAAGCAAATTGCTGGTTCATATGGTAGGAGTATATTTAATTTTTGTAAGAAACTGCCAAATTGTCTTCCAAAGTGTCTGTACCATTTGCCCTTCCCCTGAGCAATGAATGAGAGTTCCTGTTGCTCAACATCCTTGTCAGCATTTGATATTGTCAGTGTTTTAGATTTTGGCCATTCTAATAGATGTGTAATAGTATCTCATTTTTGTTTTAATTTGCAATTCCCTAAGGGCATATGATATATAGTTTGGATATTTGTCGCCACTCAAATCTCATGTTGAAATGTAATCCCTAATGTTGGAGGTGGGGCCTGGTGGAGGGGTTTGGGTCATGGGGCAGATCCCTCATGGCTTGGTGCTGTCCTTGCAATGGTGAGTGAGTTATCATAAGATTGGTTGTTTAAGCGTGTGGCACCTTCCCCCTACACTGTCTTGCTCCTGCCTTCACCATGTGATGATGTGCCTGCTCCTGCTTCACCTTCCATCATGAGTGAAAGCTCCCCGAGGCCTCCCCAGAAGCTGATAAGATAGATGCTGGTGCCATGCTTGTACAGCCTACAGAACTGTGAGAAATTAAACCTCTTTTCTCAATAAAATACCCAGTCTCAGGTATTTCTTTTCTTTCTTTTTTTTTTTTTTTTGAGATGGAGTCTCACTCTGTCGTCCAGGCTGGAGTGTGGTGGCGCAATGTTGGCTCACTGCAACCTTCACCTCCCAGGGTCAAGTGATTCTCCTGCCTCAGCCTCCCAAGTAGCTGGGATTACAAGTGCATGCCACCATGCCCAGCTAATTTTTGTATTATTAATAAAGATGGGGTTTCACCATGTTGGCCAGGCTGGTTTTGAACTTCTGGCCTCAAGTGATCCTCCTATGTTGACCTCCCAAACTGCTGGGATTATAGGTGTGAGCCACCATGCCCAGCCTGGCTACTTTTAAGTTTCCATTTCTCTCCAGCAATAACTAATCTTTTCATTCATTATGTCTGTTGTAACCTTTAACATATTGATAATAGTTGCTTTATATTTAAATTTTTGTTAATTTATTTAGAGATGGGATCTTGCTCTGTTGCCCAGGCTGGAATGCAGTGGTACAGTCATGGCTCACTACAGCCCTAAACTCCAGGAGTCAGGTAATCTTCCTGCCTCAGCCTCCTGAGTAGTTGGGACTACAGGCAGGAGCCACTGTGCCCAGAGTGTCCTCATACCTTAAATGCACAATTTCTGTTGCTTACAGTCCAATAACCATTACTGAGTGCTATAGAAATACCAAAAAAACATACATTTTGAAAACAGTCAGAACAGGGTTTGAATCAGGACTTTATCTTGGAGCAAGTTCTTCAACCTCTGTGAGCTCAGTTTTCTTGTCTCCAAAACATAGATCATCTTCACATGACTTTGTGAGGCTTAAATGAAATGAGATTGCATATGTAAAAGTGCCCAGCTCAAGCCTAGTATTTACTGGCCACTGAATAATTATTAGTTTCATTCCCCCTGTACCTATATTATACAAAAAACAAAAGAGGCATTAAAATAGACATCATATTTCTTCATGTGAAAAGCTGTTTTATACGGTTTTATACACAGTTTGAATAGGTAGGAATAATATACAAATTCTGATCAAAATCATAAAATAAAGCTAGGAAATTTTAATTAGTTGAAACTTTAGAAAAACTAAGTAAATAAACTAAATAACTGAATAAATTTAGAATTAAAAAGTAGATATTACCCGAATTTTGGTATGTAAATGAATGTAAAAAACATATAGCCAAAATCACATTAGCAAAAATTCTGTTTCTGCATCAGCCCTGAACCTGCATTTGCTTATAAGTAACATGGTAATTTAACAGGATTCATTTAATTCTTGGCTCCTACTAAAGAGACACTGTCCCTGCCCACGGGCTACACTCCAATAGAGAAGAATACAGAACCAAATGCAGTAGAACTCTGGCAAATGATTCAATAATTCATTCTTCAGTTAATAGGGTTGCAAAAAAAAAAAGTACACTCAGCAAACATTTATTGAGAACCTACTGTGTGACAGGCATGTTCCAGGCACTGCAGATGACACAGAGGATCATCTGGCTTATGGAGTTGTTGTTGTTGTTGTTGTTTTTGACACAGGGTCTCTCTCTGTTGCCCAGACTGGAGTGCAGTGGCATGATCTCGGCTCACTGCAACCTCTGCCTCCCAAGCTCAAATGATCCTCCCACCTCAGCCTCCCCAGTAGCTGGGACCACAGGTGTGAGTCCCAGCTAATTTCTGTATTTTTTGTAAAGATAGGGTCTCCCTATGTTGCCCAGGCTGGTCTCGAACTCCTGGCTTCAAGCAATCCACCCACCTTGGCCTCCCAAAATGCTGGGATGATAGGTGTGAGCCACTGTGCCCAGCCTTATGGAGTTTACTTTACCAGGGCTGTGTTTAGAGAGAGCTTTGCCAAAACATAAACACACAAACACTGCCAACGGGAGAATGCCACGTAGTGAGGTAAGCAAACAATGGCAACAACAAAGTTCTCCCGCTCTCAGCCAAGAAAAGCCCAACTCTATGCCTTAGCAGAATGACCAAGTAACACTGTCCTGGACCTTCAGGGTCACCAGAGAACAGGCCAAACTAAGACTGCTTCAGCCTACAAATGACAAGAGCCTACCATACAAGCAGAGTATTCTATGACACCAGGACACGCTAAAGCCATGTGGGCCTCTGTGGTCTAGGTTTGCCTCTCCCTGCAGCCACATGGGCTGTGGAGAGTTTTTGGGAGTTTCCTGCCTTCATGCCCTGCACATACTCTGCCTGGACCACTCTTGTGCTTGCCGTTCCTGCCAACTCCCAGGTGAACCACGCATCCTTGGGTCACAGTCTTTGCAGGCAGTGACCCACACACCCTCAGGAGGAGATGCCCTGGCAGAGCCCCGCCCCCACTCCATCAGGTATGCTATGTACTGGGCTGAAAGGTTCTACAGAAACACATGGGGGCTTCCCCACCAGGATGGCTGCTCCTAGGACAGGACTGGGTCACAAGTATTTTCTGTCTCCCTAGTGCTGGCCTAGAGTAGGTGCTTACAGCCATTTGTTAAATTGAAAGGGACAAGTGTACAAAGGCAGGCTGAGCCTGTCATCAGCCTGGCCACATTGTGTACGTGGCAGAATGATGGCCCTGGATACTGACCCCCTGCGCCCACTGCATCTGACACCGAGTCTGACTTAGAACTTTAATCTGGAAGGATTTTTTTTTTTTAATTTCTAAGTCTCCACCTCACCACTTTTTTTTTTTTTTTTTGAGACCAAGTCTCACTTTGTTGCCCAGGCTGGAGTGCAGTGGCATGATCTCAGCTCACTGCAACCTCCACCTCCTGGGTTCAAGCAATTCTCCTGCCTCAGCCTCCTGAGTAGCTGGGACTACAGGCATGTACCACCATGCCCAACTAATTTTTGTGTTTTTGTAAAGAAGGGGTTTCACCATGTTGGCCAGGCTTGTCTTAAACTCCTAACCTCAAGTGATCCCCCAGCCTGAGCCTCCCTAAGTGCTAGGATTACAGACGTGAGCCACTGTGCCCTGCCCACCTCACTACATTTTAAGTTGATTTTTTTAAAAGGGTCAGTGTTCATTAAAGGAAGACTAAACAGATTTCTGGTTGTTTTTGTTGTTGCTGTTTTAGAGACAGGGTCTCCCTCTGTTGCCCAGGCTGGAGTGCAGTGGCACAATCCTAGCTCACTGAAACCTTGAACTCTTGGGTTCAAGCGATTCTCCCATCTCAGCTTCCCAAGTGGCTAGGACTACAGGTATATACCACCATGCTTGGCTAGCAGATTTCTGTTTTACAAGCCAAGGCCTTCTGCAGCTTTGGAGTGGATTCTCTATCTGAATGTTTTATTGTGGTAAAATATACATAATGGCCGGGCGCGGTGGCTCACGCTTGTAATCCCAGCACTTTAGGAGGCTGAGGTGGGCGGATCACGAGGTCAGGAGATCGAGACCAAGGTGAAACCCCGTCTCTACTGAAAATACAAAAAAATTAGCCGGGCGTGGTGGCAGGCACCTGTAGTCCCAGCTACTCGGAGAGGCTGAGGCAGGAGAATGGCGTGAACCCGCGAGGCGGAGCTTGCAGTGAGCAGAGATGGCGCCAATGCACTCCAGCCTGGGCGACAGAGTGAGACTCCATCTCAAAAAAAAAAAAAAAAAATATATATATATATATATATATATATATACACACACACATACATATACATATATATACGTATATATATATATGTGTGTGTGTGTGTGTATATATATATACACATAACATAAAATTTACCACTTTAAGTGAAGAGTCCGGTGGCACTAAGTACATTCACATTGTTGGGCAACCGTCACCACCATCCATCTCAGAACTTTTTTGTCTTCCTCAACTGAAACTCTGTCCCCATGAAACACTAACTCCCCATTTTCCCTTCCCCCACCCCCTAGCAACTGTCATTCTGCCTTCTGTCTTTATGAATTTGACTACTCTAGGGCCCTCATGTAAGTAGAACCATACAGTATTTTCCTTTTGTGACTGGCTTATTCACTTAGCATGATGTCCTCAAGGTTCACCCATGTTGTAGCTCATGCTCAGAATTTATTTCCTTTTTAAGTCTCTAGTTGAATTCTTATCCCTTCATTTCGCTTCAAATTAAAACAACACAAGTCAGCCCTGATTTTGCAAACAAATGTGCCAAAGTGACATAAAGGCACGATGCAGCCTGAGAGGCCTGTCCACGCTGGCTGCCAGCCACTGTCTCCAGAGGCTGCCTTTGCAAGGATGGTCACTTGGATAAGGGGCTTGAAGCTCTCCCTATTGATGGTGGCTGAGAAGTAGCAGAACGTTAAGTTTTCTTTGCCAAAACAGAATCTAAATTGTGCTGAATCAGAGCAACTATAAACATTGTTTGCTTTTAAATATTTTACTTTATCCAGCAGGCTTTCAGATAATCAGCTTGTGTTCTGGAACTGTCTTTCTGAGAAATAAACACAAATGAGTTGGCAGAGTCCACGTACAAAATATCTCAGGCTGTCCCAGCCTAGGACAAGCCAAGTAAATATAAATCATGGATTTTATAGCATTATATAAATCTTTATAAAAGGAATGCATTAATTGATTCAAGGACATTTGTAGTCTATATGAAACTAGCAATACATAAAATATTTTATGTTTTTTTCTTATACTTTAATATTCTACTCTCTCTCTCTCTCTATATATATATATATATTTTTTTTTTTTTTTTTTGAGATGGAGTCTCGCTCTGTTGCCCAGGCTGGATGGAGTGCAGTGGCGTGATCTCGGCTCACTGCAACCTCCGCCTTCTGGGTTCAGGCAATTATCCTGCCTCAGCCTCCCAAGTAGTTGGGACTGCAGGCGTCTGTCACCACGCTTAGCTAATTTTTTTTTTTTTTTTTTTGAGACGGAGTCTCCCTCTGTCACCCAGGCTGGAGTGCAGTGGCGCGACCTCGGCTCACTGCAACCTCCACCTCCCGGGTCCAAGCGATTCTCCTGCCTCAGCCTCCTGAGTAGCTGGGACTACAGGCGCATGCCACCACGCCTGGCCAATTTTTGTATTTTTGGTAGAGACAGGGTTCCTCCATGTTGGCCAGGTTGGTCTCAAACTCCTGACCTCAGGTGATCTGCCCGCCTTGGCCCCCCAAAGTGTTGGGATTACAGGTGTGAGCCACCGTGCCTGGCCAGCTAATTTTTGTTTTTATTTTTATTTTATTTTATTTATTTATTTTTTTTTTTGAGACGGAGTCTCACTCTGTTGCCAGGCTGGAGTGCAGTGGCACGATCTCGGCTCACTGCAACCTCTGCCTCCTGGTTCAAGCAATTCTCCTGCCTCAGCCTCCCGAGTAGGTGGGACTACAGGCGCACGCCACCATGCCTGGCTAATTTTATTTTTTTATTTTTTTATTTTAGTAGAAACAGGGTTTCACCATGTTGCCCAGGCTGGTCTCGAACTCCTGAGATCAGGCAATCTGCCCGCCTCGGCCTCCCAAAATGTTAGGATTACAGGTGTAAGCCACTGTGCCCAGCCTATTTTATTTTCTTTGAGATGGAATTTCGCTCTTGTCACCCAGCCTGGAGTGCATTGGCGCGATCTCTGCTCACCGCAACCTCTGCCTCCCGGGTTCAGGCAATTCTCCTGCCTCAGCCTCCCAAATAGCTGGTACTACAGGCATCCGCCACCATGCCTAGCTAAGCTTTGTTTTTATTTTTATTTTATTTTATTTTGAGACAGAATTTCACTCTTGTCACCCAGGCTAGAGTGCAATGGCACGATCTCCGTTCACTGCAACCTCCGCTTCCTGGGTTCAAGCTATTCTCTTGCCTCAGCCTCCTGAGTAGCTGGGATTACAGGCTCCCGTCATCACGTCTGGCTAATTTTTGTATTTTTAGTAGAGATTTGAATTCCTGACCTCAAGTGATTGCCCACCTCAGCCTCCCAAAGTGCTGGGATTACAGGTGTGAACCACCGCACCCAGCCCTCCTATATAGATATATTTCATATAATATTTTCTAAGTACAGTAATTTTATCACCTCTTCTAGTCATCAGTTAATCAAACCGAAGTCAAAGAAATAACTGCTGGTGTCTCTAGAAAACAATCCAACCAGGCCAGGCGCAGTGGCTAATGCCTGTAATCCCAACACTTTGGGAGGCCGAGGCGGGTGGATCACTTGAGGTCAGGAGTTTGAGACCAGCCTGGCCAATATGGTGAAACCCCGTCTCTACTAAATTTACAAAAGTTAGCTGGGCGTGGTGGTGGGTGCCTGTAATCCCAGCTACTCGAGAGGCTGAAGCAGGAGAATCGCTTGAACCTGGGAGGCAGAGGTTGCAGTGAGCCGAGATCATACCACTGCACTCCAGCCTGGGCGACAGAGCGAGACTCTGTCTCAAAAACAAAACAGAACAAAACAAAAAGTTAAACATAGACTTACCATATGACCCAGCAATTCTACTCCTAGGTGTATACCCCAAAGAATTAAACACAGGGACACAAACACCAATGGTCATTGAAGCATTAGCATTGTTCACAACAGCCAAAAGGCAGAAACAACTCATGTTCATCAATAGATGAACAGGTACACAAAACACGGTATATACTCTTCAATGGAAGATTACTTGGCCTTAAAATGGAACGAAAATAGGAAATAACAAGTGGTGGCAAGAATGTGGACGAATTGGAACCCTCATGCATTGCTGGTGGGTCTCTCTGGAAAACAGTTTGATGAGTCCTTAAAAATTTAAACCAAACCGCCATATGATCCAGCAATTTCATTTCTACGTATATATTGCAAGGAATCAAAAGCAAGGATTTTAACGGTTTTGTGTATACCAGTCATCATACCAGCATCATTTACAATAGCTGAAAGGCACAAGTAACCCAAACATCCAACAATGGATTAATGGATAAACAAAATGCAGAATGGAGTATTATTGCACACACAATGAGATATTATCCAGCCTTGAAAAGGAATGAGATTCTGACACATGCTGCAACAGGGGTAAACTTTGAGAATTGTATGCTAAGTGAAATAAACCAACTACATATGGACAAATGAGATTTCACTTATATGAGGTATGCGGAATAGTCTAATTCCTTGAGACAGAAAGTACTGGTTGCCAGTGGCTGGGGTGAGAAAGAATGGGGAGTTAGTGTTTAATGAGTACAGAGTATCAGTTTGGGAAGATGAAAAATTCCGGAAATGGAGAGTTGTGATGGCTCACAACAATGTGAATGCACTTAATGCCACTGAATTTTACATGTAAAAATGGTTAAAATGATAAATTCTAAGTTATGTATGTTTTACCACAATAAAAACAAACAAAAGCATGATATTGGCTGGCTGTGGTGGCTCACACTTGTAATCCCAGCACTTTGGAAGGCCGAGGTGGGCGGATCAGGAGGTCAGGAGACCGAGACCATCCTGGCCAACATGGTGAAACCCCATCTGTACTAAAAATACAAAAATTAGCCGAGCGTGGTGGTGGGCGCCTGTAGTCCCAGCTACTCAGGAGGCTGAGGCAGGAGAATCACTTGAACCCGGGAGGCAGAGGCTGCAGTGAGCCAAGATTGCGCCACTGCACTCCAGCCTGGGCGACAGAGCTAGACTCTGTCTCAAAAAAAAAAAAAAAAAAAGCATGATATATTCAGCCCCACCAAAAACCAAAAGGAATGAAATTCTGATACATGGTAGGTACAACACGGATGAATCTTTTTTTTTTTTTTTTTTGGCTGGAGTGCAGTAGCACGATCTCGGCTCACTGCACGCTCCGCCTCCCGGGTTCACGCCATTCTCCTGCGTCAGCCTCCCGAGTAGCTGGGACTACAGGCGCCCACCACCACGCCTGGCTATTTTTTTTTTGTATTTTTAGTAGAGACAGGGTTTCACTGTGTTAGCCGGGATGGTCTCGATCTCCTGAGCTTGTGATCCGCCCGCCTCAGCCTCCCAAAGTGCTGGGATTACAGGCGTGAGCCACCGCGCCCAGCCAACACGGATGAATCTTAAAAACATTTCTAGGTTAAATGTGCCAGGCACAAAAGGACAAATATTGTATGATTCCAGTTATAAGAAACATCTGTAATAGGCAAAATCCAGGGAATTTGAGGCTGCAGTGAACTATGATGGCACCACTGCATTCCAGCCTGGGTAGTCGACTAAGCAAGACCCTGTCTTAAAAAAATAAATAAAAGGGGACAAATTCATAGAGACAGAAAGTGGGAGTTATTGCTTAATGGGTACAGAGTTTCTGTTTGTGGTGATGGAGAAGTTTTGGAAATAGTTATCAGTGATAGTTGCACAATAATATAATTAATGTCACTGAATTGCTGCCTAAAAATGATTAAAATGGCAAATTTTGTTATATACATTTGGCCACCAAAATAAGAAAGAAAACAAACCAACCAGCCCTTCAGTGGCTCTGTAGCTTTGCAGAATGAAAACTCCACAGCCCCATGACTGGCAGGGAGGCCCCATGCTGGCTCCACTCGGCCTCTGCAGCCCTCTCTTCCCACCAGTTGCCTCCTCGGATCCTTCCGGTGCAGCTTCTAGGCTGCTCTTGGCCTGAGTCCAAAGCCGACTGGCCCTGCTCCATGAAGTCTTCCCAGGTTCCCGTTCTAAGAGCCTTTCTCCCTCTTGTGAATAACCAGGCACTCCTGCACCACCCACTACCCCACCCTGACCCTCCTAACCCTCAGCTCTGAGTCACCTGGGCTTGCCCAGGGCTTTCTGCTCAGTCATCTTAAGGACCAGGAGAGGAAGCCAAGCAGGTGGAGGCAGGGCTGGCCATGACCAGGCCTTAGGACTAGAGTTGCATTAGTCAGGAAGGTGGCAGAACTTAGCGTCTCTGCCTCCAGTTCATTGGTGGCCCTGGAAGAGTCCCTGTCTCCCTCTGAGTCTGCTTTCTCTTCTGCAAAATGAGAGACTGGATTGGGATTGCAAGGGTGTTTTTCACTCCAGGTTTTTGTTTGTTTGTTTGTTTTTGAGACAGATTCTCTCTCTGTTGCCCAGGCTGGAGTGCAGTGGCACGATCTTGGCTCACTGCAACCTCCATCTCCCTGGTTCAAACAATTCCCCTGCCTCAGCCTCCTGAGTAGCTGGGATTACAGGCACATGCCACCACCCCTGGCTAATTTTTTTGTATTTTTGGTAGAGACGAGATTTCACCATGTTGGCCAAACTGGTCTCGAACTCCTGACCTCAGGCAATCCGCCCTCCTTGGCTCCCAAAGTGCTGGGATTACAGGTGTGAGCCACCGCGCCTGGCCCATTCCAGGGTTTTGTGACTAAAATTGGGTAGCAAAGAACTGCAGGGTAGAGGTAACCTTCTTCAGAGGAGAAAGCCTTCTTGAAATGTTCAGTTGATGATTTTATTCTTATTGGGGCAGTCTTTAAAGTTTCTTGAGAGAAAAATGGAAACAAAATCTTTTTTTTTTTTTTGAGACAGTCTCTTTGAGTCACCCAGGCTGGAGTGCAAATGGCATGATCATGGCTCATTGCTGCCTCAACCTCCCAGGAAGACCAGATCTTCCAGCTTCAGCTACCTGAGTAGCTGGGACCACAGGTGTGCACCACCACGCCTGGGTAATTTTTTTTTTCTTTTTGATAGGGGGCAGTCTCACTATGTTGCCCAGGCTAGTCTGAACTCCTGGATTCAAGAAATCCTCCTGCCTTCGCTTCCCAAAGTGCTGGGATTATAGACGTGAGCCACTGCATTCAGCTGAAAAAAATCTTTAACTCACCGAAATTAAGAGTTTCGATATTGACTTAGTCAAGAATTTTAGTGTTTGTTACGTTATTAGGATTTCCACAAAATAAATTACCCAAAGGAAAATGATGGTTATTCTTGTTGGCCTTAGCTCATCAATGTAAGTCTAGGACTTTTAGTAGAATCTGGATATTAGCAACACATAGTTAAATGCAGAAGCAACTGCTAGGCCTGGTGGCATGCACCTGTAGTCCCAGCTACTTGGAAGGCTGAGGCATGAGGACCACTTGAGACCAGGACTTTGAATCTGTCCTGGGCAATGTAGCGAAACTACATGTCAATTTTTAAAAATTTTATAAGCAACTAAAAGGAGGTGGTGAAACAGGTAGGATCATGGAATACTATACAGCAGGGAAAACAAACTAAGCACAACTGCCTGCAACAACATGAATGAGTCTCACAATCATACACGCTATATGACTCCTTTTATAAAACATTTAGAAATGGGTAAATATAATCAATGATGTTTTTCCTGATTTCAATTTGGGTTAACACTTTAGTTTTTTGTTTTGTTTTGTTTTTTGAGACAACGTCTCGCTCAGTCGCCCAGGCTGGAGTGCAGTGGTGCGATCTCGGCTCACTGCAACCTCTGCCTCCCAGGTTCAGGTGATTCTCCTGCCTCAGCCTCCTGAGTAGCTGGGATTACAGGCACATGCCACAATGCCCTGCTAATTTTTGTATTTTTAGTAGAGACAGGGTCTCACCATGTTGGCCAGGCTGGTCTCAAACTTCTGAGCTCAGGTGATCCACCCACCTTGGCCTCCCAAAGTGCTGGGATTACAGGCAGGAGCCACCACACCTGGCCAACACTTTGGTATTTAAAATACAATATGAAGCTGGGCACTGTGGCTCACACCTGTAATCTCAGCACTTTGGGAGGCCAAGGTGGAAAGATCATTTGAGCCCAGGAGGTGGAGGCTGCAATGAGCTATGATTGCACCATTATATTCCAGTCTGGATTACACAACTGACACCCTGTCTCTAAAAAAAATAATAAAATGAAATATAATATATAACTGGACAAATATTTAAGATATGATTTTATTTATTTATTTTGAGATGTGTTCTGGTTGTGTTGCCCAGGCTGGGGTATAGTGGTGTGATCATAGCACAATGCAGCCTCGAGCTCCTGGGGTCAAGCTATCTTCCCACCTAGGCCTCTTGAGTAGCTGGGACTACAGGTGCAAACCACTACACCCAGCTATTTTTTTTTTAATTTTATTGTTTTGTGGAGATGGGGGTCTCCATATGTTGCCCAGGCTGGCCTCAAATTCCTGGCCTCACGTGATCCACCTGCCTTGGCCTCCAAAAGTGTTGAGATTACAGGTGTGAGCCACTGTGCCTGGCCTGGATTTTTTAATAATCTTGAAAAAGAACAAACAACCTAAATGTTTAAAGGTAAGGAATTGGTTTGTGTGTGTGTGTGTGTGTGTGTATATATATAAACTATATAATGTATATGAAATCTTGATTAATACATATATCAGTATATAAATATATCAATACATGTCAGATATATCATATATAAGTAATATATAACATAAATAATAAACACATTTATAGTACGTAAATGTATGTTTATTTATACATATGCCAGTATATCAGAACAATGAAATGCTCTACAGCCATTTAAAATTTTGGAGAAAAATATTTAAAAATACTTAATTTACTAGACCTGTATTAAGCGCTTTATAGACATTATTTTATTTAATCCTGACAATACTCCTTGTGATTAAGATACTTGTATTTTTGGCTGGGCATGGTGGCTCACGCCTATAATCCCAGCACTTTGGGAGGCTGAGGCGGGCGGATTGCTGGAGGTCAGGAGTTTGAGACCAGTCTGGCCAACGTGGTAAAACCCCATCTCTACTAAAAAAAATACAAAAAAATTAGCTGGGCATGATGGAGTGCGCCTGTAATCCCAGCTACTCGGGAGGCAGGGGAATTGCTTGAACCAGGGAGGTGGAGGTTGCAATGAGCCGAGATCACGCCACTGCACTCAACCCTGGGAGACAGAGCGAAGACTCCGTCTCAAAAAAAGATACTTATATTTTTATCTTTGTAGATGACAACACTGAAGCATGGGGAAAGTAACCTACTCGAGAACACCTAATTAATCATTTCTGGGCAAACTCAGAAATATGTCCACTAGTATGTGTTTATGTGAAAAATAAGGTATGCGACAGTATGCATAGTATTATCTCAATTTTATTACTGTATTTTTTGTTTTAATTTTTTCTTTTTTCTTGAGATGGAGTCTCATTCTGTAGCCCAGGCTGGAGTGCAGTGGCATGATCTCAGCTCAATGCAATCTCCGCCTCTCAGGCTTAAGCGATTCTTCTGCCTCAGCCTCCTAAGCAGCTGGGATTACAGGCGCCTGCCACCATGCCCAGCTAATTTTTGTATCTTTAGTAGAGAAGGGATTTCACCATGTTGCCCAGGCTGGTCTCGAACTCCTGACCTCTTGTGATCCGCCTGCCTCAGCCTCCCAAAGTGCTGGGATCACAGGCGTAAACCACTGCGTCTGGCCTGTTGTGATGTTTTATATGCACAGATACATATTTTGAAAAAGTTAAAATAGGACGGGTGCGGTGGCTCACGCCTGTAATCCGAGCTCTTTGGGAGGCCAAGACGGGCAAATCACCTGAGGTCAGGAATTCGAGACCAGCCTGACCAACATAGAGAAACTTCGTCTCTACTAAAAATACAAAATTAGCTCGGTGTGGGGGCTCGTGCCTGTAATCCCAGCTACTCGGGTGGCTGAGGCAGAAGAATCGCTTGAACCTGGGAACCAGAGGTTGCGGTGAGCAGAGATCATGCCATTGCACTCCAGCCTGGGCAACAAGAGCAAAACCGTGTCTCAAAAAAACAAAAAAACAGACAAAAAAATCACAACAAATGCATGAATACATAGATGTGTCTAACCTCAAAAAACTGTTAGCTAGCGGAATTATGAGAAATTATGATTTTCTTCCTGTTCATTTATGCATGTAGAGTGGGTTGTTATATGAACTGTGACCTAGGTCTCAGTTCTGAGCACATTATCAATTCCAACATATGGGGGCTGCCCTACGTGACCCAGTGAGGGTCAACATATCTTTTATCACTATCAATATACTAGGACTGCCTACTTACATATTCATAAAATCTACATCAGAGCAAGGGGTGCACTTGTCATATCTGGGACTGGCATACTAGTCCCAGTATTTGCAGTATTAAAATACTGCAAATTTACTAATTTGCAGGCAGCCAATCAGAGCAACTTATGTGAGGCAACACCCCCAAGGAAATCAATCTTGGAAAGCCATTCCGCGCTCCAGAGTGCAAGACCCCTGAGCTGAGGGGCTGGGTGCGGTGGCTCACGCCTGTAATCCCTGCACTCTGGGAGGCCGAGGAGGGTGGATCACGAAGTCAGGAGATCGAGACAATCCTGGCTAACACGGTGAAACCCTGTCTCTACTAAAAATACAAAAAATTAGCTGGGCATGGTGACGGGTGCCTGCAGTCCTGGCTACTCAGGAGGCTGAGGTAGGAGAATGGCGTGAACCTGGGAGACGGAGCTTGCAGTGAGCTGAGATCATGCCACTGCACTCCAGCCTGGGTGACAGAGTGAGACTCCGTCTCAAAAAAAAAAAGAGCCCTGAGCTTGCGGAGCTTGGTGGCATTTGCGCCCACCACAGCAGGAGTGGCATGCAGTCTCTCCACTGTCCTAACCCTTGAAGGTGGAGAGTCTCTGGCTGAGGGTTCTGGCCCTCCCCGTGATGAGGGAGCTCTTGTTCTGGATCCACTCCACAGGAAGGGAGCACCTGGCAGCCGCAGGGAGGGAGCATCCCTAATGCAAAGTGAAGGGACCCACCTAGAAGTGAAGGGACTGTCTGGCCCTATCCTGCAGCGATATGCCTGTGTGTGCTGTTGTTTTCACAGGAAACTTGGCTAGATCAGATACTTTTATATTGAACAATGTTTTGTTATGTTGAATAATTTTATAAAAAGTATAAGTAGTTGTTAAAGTTGCCTCTGTTTCCACATCATTAGATCAAAGCCAGTGGAGTGACTGTAACTCACCACACCAAATAACTTTGACAATGTCTACCTTTTTTTTTCTTTCTTTTTTTTTTTTAATTAAGAGATGGGGGTCTTGGCCGGGCATAGTGGCCCACGCCTGTAATCCCAGCACTTTGGGAGGCCGAGGCAGGTGGATCACAAGGTCAGGAGATCGAGACCATCCTGACTAACGCAGTGAAACCCCGTCTCTACTAAAAATACAAAAAAATTATCCAGGCGTGGTGGCGGGTGCCTGTAGTCCCAGCTATTCGGGAGGTTGAGGCAGGAAGATGGTGTGAACCCAGGAGGCGGAGCTTGCAGTGAGCCGAGATGGCGCCACTGCATGCCAGCCTGGGTGGCAGAGCAAGACTCCGTCTCAAAAAAAAAAAAAAAAGAGAGAGAGAGATGGGGGTCTCAGCCAGGCCTGGTGGCTCATGCCCGTAATACCAGCACTTTGGGTTGCCAAGGTGGGCGGATTGCTTGAGGCCAGGAGTTTTGAGACCAGCCTAGTCAACATGGTGAAACCCTGTCTCTACTAAAAATACAAAAATTAGCTGGTGTGGTGGTGTGAACCTGTAGTCCCAGCTACTCTGGAGGCTGAGGCAGGAGAATTGCTTGAACCCAGGAGGCGACTGAACCCAGGTGGTTGCAGTGAGCCCAGATGCGCCACTGAACTCCAGCCTGGGTGACAAAGCCAGACTCTGTCTCAAAAATACAAAAAGACAGAGAGAGATGGGGGTCTCACCATATTGCCCAGGCTGGAATGGTTATCTATAGGCGCTATCATGGCTCACTGCAGCCTCAAACTCCTGGGCTCGAGCCATCCTCCTGCCTCAGCTTCCCAAGTAGCTGGGACTACAGGCATGTGCCACCACACCCAGGCATGACTTATAAAGTTCTTTTTTTTAAATCCAAAATATGTTCACTTAGTTTGTGTCCCATGCACCTCAACTTGGGGCTCTTCCAGTGCTGCTTCCATCTGAAGGAGCGTCCTTCCAGGAGCCTCACTTTCCCTCCTGTGGGCTGGCAGACAACAGTGGAGCAGCCAACACACAAAACTACAACTGGTGCATGGCCAGAGGCCGTAGTGGCTTTCCAGCATCCTGGCGTTTCACATCTATGAGGGAGGAATTGGGACTCTGCGCTAAGGACTTCTTGTGTTTCCTTACCTCTTTTTCTGCAGAAGGATGAGGGAGCTCCTCTTTGAGAGTCATTTTCTCCTGGGGAGGGCGTCAGTGCCAGAAAGTTTGACTTGTAAAGTTTTTGTTTGTTTGTTTTGTTTTATTTGAGACAGAATTTCGTTCTTGTTGCCCAGGCTGGAATGCAATGGCACAATCTCGGCTCACTGCAACCTCCGCCTCCCAGGTTCAAACGATTCTCCTGCCTCAGCCTCCCGAGTAGCTGAGATTACAGGCATGCGCCACCAAGCCTGGATAATTTTTGTATTTTTAGTAGAGACGGGATTTCTTGATGTTGGTCAGGCTGGTCTCGAACTCCCGATCTCAGGTGATCCATCCGCCTTGGCCTCGCGAAATGCTAGGATTACAGGCGTGAGCCACCGCGCCCGGCCCTGACTTGTAAAGTTTTTAAGGGACAAATCAGTCCTGAATAGCCGCAGACACCACAGTGGCCAAAAATTGTTTCAAAACCTGATGTTTCTCTGAGATCCAGAGACATCCTTTTCTTCCATCCCAGCTGCCTCTGCTAGGAACCCAGTTTCTTTTCTACCCTGAGCCAGGGGCAGCAGTGGGTTCATTCTTTCTCTTCCTTCCTTCCTTCCTTCCTTTCTTTCTTTCTTCCTTTCCCTTTCTTTCTTCCTTTCCCTTTCTTTCTTTCCCTTTCTTCCTTTCCTTTCCTTTCCTTTCTTTTTTTTTTTTGAGTCTCCTTCTGTCGCCCATGCTGGAGTGCAGTGGCATGATCTCCGCTCTCAGCAGCCTCCACCTCCTGGGTTCAAGCAATTCTCCCTGCCTCAGCCTCTGAGTAGCTGGGATTACAGGCACCCACCACCATGCCCTGCTGATTTTTGGGTCTTTGTTTGTTTGTTTGTTTGTTTTTGTTTGAAACGAAGTCTCGCTCTTGTATCCAGGTTGGAGTGCAATGGCACAATCTTGGCTCACTGCAACCTCCGCCTCCTGGATTCAAGCGATTCTCCTGCCTCAACCTCTCGAGTAGCTGGGATTACAGGTGCCTGCCACCACGCAGCTAATTTTTGTATTTTTAATAGAGACGGGGTTTTGTCAGGCCTCTGAGCCCTAGCTAAGCCATCATATCCCCAGTGACTTGCACATATACATCCAGATGGCCTGAAGCAACTGAAGATCCACAGAAGTGAAAATAGCTTAACCGATGACATTCCACCATTGTGATTTGTTTCTGCCCCACCCTAACTGATCAATGTTCTTTATAATCTCCTCCACCCTTAAGAAGTTTCTTTGTAATTCTCCCTACCTTTGAGAATGTACTTTGTGAGATCCACCCCCTGCCCCCAAAACATTGCTCCTAACTCTACAGCCTATCCCAAAACCTATAAGAACTAATGATAATCCCACCGCCCTGTGCTAACTCCTTTTTCGGACTCAACCCGCCTGCACCCAGGTGAAATAAACAGCCATGTTGCTCACACAGAGCCTGTTTGGTGGTCTCTTCACCCGGACACATGAGACAGGTTTCACCATGTTGGCCAGGCTGGTCTCGAACTCCTGACAGGTGATCCACCTGCCTTGGCCTCCCAAAGTGTTGAGATTACAGGTGTGAGCCACCGCACCTGCCCTAATTTTTGCGTTTTTTATTAGAGACGGGATTTCGCCATGTTGGCCAGGCGGGTCTTGAACTCCTGACCTCAGGCAATCCACCCGCCTTGGCCTCCCAAAGTGCTGGGATTACAGGCGTGAGCGACCGTGCCCAGCCAGCAGTGGGTTCCAAGCACACTTGGGGTTGATGTGGTCAACCCTTGAAACTCTAGGTCTATTATAAATGTCATTTTATACTGAACTATGAAATCTTTGCTGATGTTAGGCTGGTATTTCTTTACATTACTGTCTTTAAATTACACGTCTATTCAAAACCCAGGGCCTTACTCCTGGGAAATTATTGAAAGTAATTAATTGAATAAGTAGAAAAAGGCATGTGCACAAAGATGTTTCAATTAAAAATGAAAAATAGGCCAGGTGCGGTGGCTCACGCCTGTAATCCCAGCACTTGGGGAGGCCGAGGCGGGTGGATCACGAGGTCAGGAGATTGAGACCATCCTGGCTAACATGGTGGAAACCCGGCCTCCACCAAAAATACAAAAATTAGCTGGGCGTGGTGGCCCATGCCTGTAATCCTAGCTACTCGGGAGGCTGAGGCAGGAGAATCACTGGAACCCGGGAGGTGGAGGGTACAGTGAGCCGAGATTGCACCACTGCACTCCAGCCTGGGTGACAGAGCAAGACTCCATCTCAAAAAAAAAAAAAAAAAAAAGAACAACCTAAATATACAAGAGAAGACTACTATTAATTAATTTATGGGCCATCCACTGGATGGGATATTATGTAGCCATTAATACTTATAATTTTGGCCAGGCGCGGTGGCTCACGCCTGTAATCCCAGCACTTTGGGAGGCCGAGGTGGGCAGATCACAAGGTCAGGAGATCGAGACCATCCTGGCTAACATGGTGAAATCCCGTCTCTACTAAAAATGCAAACAAAATTAGCCGGGCGTGGTGGCAGTCGGCGCCTGTAGTCCCAGCTACTCGGGAGGCTGAGGCAGGAGAATGCCGTGAACCCGAAAGGCGGAGCTTGCAGTGAGCCGAGATCACGCCACTGCACTCCAGCCTGGGCGAGAGCGAGACTCCGTCTCAAGAAAAAAAAAAGTACTTATAATTTTGAGAATTGCAACAAATGGGAAATATTTACATCTTACTTTTTTTTGAGACAGGGTCTCACTCTGTCATCCAGACTGGAGTGTGGTGGTATGACCATAGCTTACTGCAACCTTGAAATCCTGGGCTCCCACGACCCTCTCACCTCAGCCTCCTGAGTATCTGGGATTATAGGTACAAGCCCCAAGCCTCAGCATTTTTTTTTTTTTTGAGACGGAGTCCCGCTCTGTCTCCCAGGCTTGAGTGCAGTGGCGCCATCTCAGCTCACTGCAACCTCTGCCTTACGGGTTCACGCCATTCTTCTGCCTCAGCCTCCTGAGCAGCTGGGACTACAGGCACCCACCACCATGCCCGGCTAATTTTTTTTGTATTTTTAGTAGAGATGGGGTTTCACCGTGTTGGCCAAGATGGTCTCGATCTCCTGACCTTGTGATCTGCCCGCCTTGGCCTCCCAAAGTGCTGGGATTACAGGCGTGAGCCACCGCGCCCGGCCTTTTTTTTTTTTTAGAGACAAGGTCTCACTTGAGCCCAAGCTGGTCTTGAAGTCCTGGGCTGAAGTGATCCTCTGGCCTTCAGCCTCCCAAAGCACTGGGATTACAGGCGTGAGCCACTGCATCTGGCCACTTATATCTTAAAAGAAAAAACAACACAAAAGAAATAAAATGCATGATGCTTATCAGGGAATCCAGAAGCTATGGAAGCAAGCAAAGATATTCATATTTGACTACTTAAAATGTTTAAAGTTTTGAGACAAAAGATACTATGAAGTCAAACGAACAAAGCATAGAGCAGAAAAAAAGTTGGCTGGGCGTGGTGGCTCACGCCTGTAATCCCAGCACTTTGGGAGGCCAACGCGGGCGGATCACGAGGTCAGGAGATCAAGACCATCCTGGCTAACAGGGTGAAACCCGGTCTCTACTAAAAATACAAAAAAATTAGTAGGGCGTCGTGGCGGGCACCTGTAGTCTCAGCTGCTCAGGAGACTGAGGCAGGAGAATGGCGTGAACCTGGAAGGTGGAGCTTGCAGTGAGCTGAGATCGAGCCACTGCACTCCAGCCTAGGTGCCAGGGCAAGACTCTGTCTCAAAAAAAAAAAAAAAGTTATAATACCTACAATAAATGTTAATATTGTTAGCATACCAAGAGTTTCTACAAATTAAAATCCAATAGAAAAATGGGTAAATAATATGTACAGATAATTCATAAAAGGAAATCCAAGAAACACAACCTTAGTCATCAAGGAAATGCAAATTCAGGTAATAATGAGATGGTAATATTCTTTTGTGAGATTGGCATAAACTTAAAAGCTAAATAAAATCCAGTACTTGCAAAGATTCAGGGAAAAAAACCCAGCACTTTGAGAGGCTTAGGCAGGCGGATTACCTGAGGTCAGGAGTTTGAGGCCAGCCTGGACAACATGGTGAAACCCCCTGTTTCTACTAAAAATACAAAAAAATTAGCCGGGCTTGGTGGCTTGTGCCTGTAATCCCATCTACTCAGGAGGCTTACTATGAGACTCCATCTCAAAAAAAAAGATTCAGAGAAAATGAAACTCCCATTCATTGCTGGTAGGAATGTGACTTGCTATAACCTTTTGTGTGTGTGTGCTGGAGTCGCCTGGCTAATTTTTTGTATTTTTAGTAGAGACAGGGTTTCACCATGTTGGCCAGGATGGTCTCGATCTCCTGACCTCGTGATCCGCCCACGTCAGCCTCCCAAAGTGCTGGGATTACAGGCGTGAGCCACTGCGCCCGGCCTTTTTTGTTGTTTTTTTTTTAAAGCAAGTTGCCAAGAAATGTACATAGTCCATAGTCTCCTTTTTTTTTTTTTTTTTGGAGACAGAGTGTTGCTCTGTCGCCTAGGCTGCAGTGCAGTGGCACAATCTTGACTCACTGCAACCTCTGCCTCCTGGGTTCAACCGATCTCCTGCCTAAGCCTCCCGAGTAGCTGGGATTACTGGCGCACACTACCATGCCCAGATAATTTTTGTATTTTTTAGTAGAGAGGGGGTTTCACTATGTTGGTCAGGCTAGTCTCAAACTCCTGACCTAGAGAAATCCACCTGCCTCAGCCTCCCGAAGTGCTGGGATTGCAGGCCTGAGCCACAGCTCCCAGCCCCAGTTTTGTTTTAAGAAAAGGGTTTGTAGGCCACATGTAGTGGCTCATGCCTGTGATTCCAACACTTGTGGAGGCCAAGGTGGGCAGATTACTTGAGCTCAGGAGCTTGAGACCACCTGGGCAACATGACGAAACACCGACTCTACAAAAAAATACAAAAAGTAGCCGGGTACGGTGGTGCAGATCTATAGTCCCAGCTACTTGGGAGCCTGAGGTTGGAGGATCTCTTGAGCCCAGGTAGAGGCTGCAATAAGCCAAGATCATGCCACTACACTTTAGCTTAGGCACCAGAGTGAGATCCTGTCTCAAAAAAATGGGGAAGTTTGGATATTGTTCATATAGGAAAGATGGAGAAAAAAAAGATTTGGGATTATACACTTCATGTTGTTAATATTTATTACTTTAGGGGATGAAATTAGGGTAAGGTGGGGCAGATATAATTTTTCTTTCACATAATGTTGGATTTTGTGTGTAACAAATAAACATAAATTACTTTTGTAATTCTTTCAATTCTTAAAGAAAATTTAAGGAAAAAAATGACAAAGACTATAAGGAAATACTAATTTTTTTATAATATAAAATGACAACAAAAATATTAAATTGAATTCCTGCTTTATTCACAACTGTAAAAATAAAATATCCATGTGAATAGGACTGGTAAAGAGAACTTAAAAGTTTTTTAGGGTTTTTTAGAGTGCTAGGAAGTACGTAATCTTTTTTATTTTAGTTTTTTTCTGTACCACTTACAAGCTAGGATATAGTCTTTTTAAAATAAATACTTGTGAATACTTGTGGGGAATAATCATAATAGTTCTATTATGTAAAAGATGCAAACTATGGATGCAGTGGACAAAGTGTAGATATAAAATGCAAAAATTAGGCCAGGCATGGTGGCTCACACCTGTAATCCCAGCATTTTGGGAGGCCAAAGTGGGCAGATCACAAGGTCTCTAAGAGACAGAGACCATCCTGGCCAACATGGTGAAATGCCGTCTCTACTAAAAATACAAAAATTAGCTGGGCGTGGTGGCACGCGCCTGTAGTCCCAGCTACTCAGGAGGCTGAGGCAGGAGAATCCAGGAAGCAGAGGTTGCAGTGAGCCAAGATCGTGCCATTGCCCTCCAGCCTGGTGACACAGCGAGACTCCGTCTCAAAAAAAAAAAAAAAAAAGAATAAAAGAAAATGCAAAAATTGGCTGAGCATGGTGGCTCACGCCTATAATCCCAGCACTTTGGAGACCGAGGGGGATGGATTGCTTGAGCTCATGAGTTGGAGACCAGCTTGGGCAACATGGCAAAACCCCATCTCTACAAAAAAAAAAAAAAATACAAAAAATTAGCTGGGCATGGTGGCAGGTGCCTGTAGTCCCAGCTACTCAGGAGGTTGAGGTGGGAGGATGACTTGAGGCCAGGAGGTGGAGGTTGCAGTGAGCCGAGATCACACCACTGCACTTCAGCCTGGGCAATAGATCCAAACCTTGTTTCAAAAAAAAAAAAAAAAGCTGTTAAGTAAGGATGACAGGCTTATGAATATTTTTTTTCAATTTCCTCAAACTTTATGTAATATTGCACTGCCTTTAGAATAAAAAGTAACTCCTACCCCATAAAAAGCTAGGTTTCCTTTTTTGGAATTTATTACAGAAGAGAAGACAGAACAGAAATTTGTATCCTGCTACAATTACAGTGTTATCAAACTATAGTCCTATATGGATGAGGACTGAAGGAGGAATGCTGAGACTGTTGAGGGTTTTAAAATTTTTATTTCCTTTCCTGTTATGTTCCAAAAAGATACACATCAAGAATGGGAGGAACGAACTTTTAATTTATTTTCTCAGTTTCCGGATGCTCTATCTTCTTTTTCAAATTATAAAAATTCTCTTTTTTAAATACAAGCTGACTGGGTTGTCCCTGAAACACATTAGCTCAAGCTTCTGACCTTTGGAAAGCAAATCAGAGACTATGTTGCGAAAGAATTGTAATCAGCCTCGGTGACTGTGAGAGTTATTTAGGACACAGCCTCTTGCTCAGTTACAGCTCCAGCCTAGGGCCAGCAGGGCACTGGGACATGCTGGCAGCCACTGCATACTGGGCACCGGAAGGAGGATCTGCAGCAAGCTGGGACGTGGAAGGAAGCCACAGGACTTCCTCTGCAAGCTCTGCCAAGCCAAACGAGTATTATCTGCCCTCGAGTTTGTTTTTGCCATGGCTAAACACGGACTGCAAGTTGAACGTAATCCAAGCAGATCATTTCCCTGCAATTTTAAAAAGCAACGTAAATCCTAGACTTGACATGGTTCAAATCAGCTGGAGCAGGGCATCTCAGGGAGTAAGAGAGACTTGGGCTACTTCTAATTTTGTTTATTGATATGAAGAAATAGTAAATACAACTTAAAAATTTTGGTATGCTGTATTTTATTTATGAATTGCTTTTAGAGACAGGGTCTCAGTCTGTCTCCTGGGCTGGAGTGCAGTGGCACAATCATAGCTCACTGCAGCCTTGAACTTCTGGGCTCAAGCAATCCTCCTTCAGCCTCCCAAAGTGCTGGGATTATAGGTGTGAGCCACCGTGCCTGGCCAGGTAAGCTTATTTTAAAATAGTAATATACATTTTTTAAACCTTTAGTCACCTTTTCAAGTAAAGCACCTCTACATTTAAAACAATGGAGTTAGCCAGTCATGGTGGCTCATGCCTATAATCCCAATTTTAGGTAGGCTGAGGCGGGAGGATCAGTTGAAGCCAGAAGTTCAAGACCAGCCTTGGCAACAAAGTGATACCCCATTTCTACAAAAATTGTTTTTTTAAAAAAGTTAGCTAGGCATGGTGTATGCCTGTAGTCCCAGCTACTGGGGAGGCTGAGGTAGGGGGATCACTTGAGCCTATGAGCAGAGATCATACTACTGCACTCCAGTCTAGGTGACAGAATGAGAACCTGTCTTTTTTTTTTTTTTGAGATGGGGTCTCGCTCTGTCGCCAGGCTGGAGTGCAGTGGCGCAGTCTTGGCTCACTGCAACCTCTGCCTCCTGGGTTCAAGCGATTCTCCTGCCTCAGCCTCCCAAGTAGCTGGGATTACAGGCACGTGCCACCATGCCCAGCTAATTTTTGTATTTTTAGTAGAGATGGGGTTTCACCATGTTGGCCAGGCTGGTCTTGAACTCCTGACCTCATGATCTGCCCGCCTCAGCCTCCCAAAGTGCTGGGATTACAGGCATGAGCCACCGTGCCCGGCCTGAGACCCTGTCTTAAAAACAACAACAACAAAAATCCCACAAAATACAATGGAGTCCATTGTTAATTTGAAAAAGTATAGTAAACACACAGAAACATTTTATATATATCCTATCACGCATAGTGTATTTCAGATGTTATGGTTGGATAAAGAAAGACAAATTCAAGGTAATATGATAAGCATCTTCTTTTAGTCCTGCCAGCGTGTCTCTGACTCATGCACACCCTTGTATGGAGAGGAAGCTCTTGGAGAGTGCGCAGGCTGGCCACCCGCCCATGACATGCCCTGCTGTGGGAAAGCCAGAGCAGGGAGTGGATAGAGCCTGTGACTTGGAATCAAAAGACTCAGGGCGGAATTGCAGCTCTGCCATTTCTTGTGTCAACTCTAAGCCTGTATCATCCACTGTAAGATGGAGATAGTAATAAAACCTTCTTCGCAGAGTTGTGGGGAAGATTCACCAAGATTAACACATAGGAAAGCCCACAGCACACTTTAGCATGTAGGTTGCCCAAATGTTTGCTCCCTTTGACTGTCTCTTCCTGGCTGGATGTGAGGATTATGTTGGATGGTGTACGTGAAAACAAATGTTAGTTATAATTAGAAATGGGTAACAGGGTCCTGAATCTAATTCAAGACACCACATCTGATTGTGTGTATGTTGTGTCAGAGTGTCTGCAACAGGTTGTTAGTCCTCCAATGCTACGATATTTTTTAACCTCCTTCTGAGCCCCTCCCTGTCTGGCAGTCCCTAGACCTAGCTAGCTTCTCAGAATAGGTTCTGGAAATGCAGAGAACATTCAGGAGGCAGGCTCACGGCCTGAAAAATAAGGGTCGCAGCTCCTGACTCAACTAATACTTCAAGGCAGCGTCCAAAGGTCCAACAAGACAACTCACTGCATGCTCCCTCACACGTTGTCGGCAGGCTGGAGTGCAGTGGCGCAATCTCCGCTCACTGCAAGCTCCGCCTCCTGGGTTCACGCCATTCTCCTGCCTCAGCCTCCCGAGTAGCTGGGACTACAGGCGCCCGCCACCACGCCCGGCTAATTTTTTGTATTTTTAGTAGAGAGGTTTCACCGTGTTAGCCAGGATGGTCTCGATCTCCTGACCTCATGATTCACCCACCTTACCTTCCCAAAGTGCTGGGATTACAGGCGTGAGCCACCGTGCCTGGCCTTCCCTCAAAGATTCGGAGGTAATTTCAATTCTCCTACATCACCACTGTAGCATTGTCACACTGAGGAAAATTAAGTATATTTAGACAGAATCTTTGAACAAGGGTTTTGGGAAAGGAGATAACTGATATCTGAAATCACAAGAAATTCAGCCAGGGTGCTAGGCCAAATGTAGGCTGTGGGAAGGAAAGGGCTTTGTGCTTCTTGAAGGCCAGGACAAATGCTTGAAGTTAGCATCATTCAAAGGTGTGCTTAAAGCCATCTGTGGGAGACCTCAGCTGCCTGGATCTTGAGTACGTGTGATTAACTGCCTTGTGTATTAGCAACCCCTGGGAAGATCCCACTGATGAACAGGGTGAAATGACATGAAAAACAGCCGTGAATAAGCCTTTGAGAAATGAAACAAACTAAACCCACAAGTCATCCTAGCAAGCAAGGGGAAAAAGAAAAGATTCAGTGCAGACAATTTCTGCTGTGAATGAACCCAGGTCTTCCCAGGGGGAGAAATGGGTGGGGGCGATTTGATTGAGGAAGGAAATGAGGCTTCAGGCAGGAGGAAATTCTTTTTTTTTTTTTTTTTTTTTTTTGAGACAGAGTCTTGCTCTCTGTCATCCAGGCTGAGTACAATGGCTCGATCTGGGCTCACTGCAACCTCCGCCTCCTGGGTTCAAGCAATTCTTCTGCCTCAGCCTCCCGAGTAGCTGGGACTACAGACATGCGCCACCACGCCCGGCGAATTTTTGTATTTTTAGTAGAGACAGAGTTTCACTATATTGGCCAGGCTGGTCTCAAACTCCTGACCTTGTGATCTGCCCACCTTGGCCTCCCAAAGTGCTGGGATTAGGCGTGAGCCACTGCGCCCGGCCTAATTTTTGTATTTTTAGTAGAGACAGCGTTTTCCCATGTTGGCCAGGCTGGTCTCGAACTCCTGACCTCAAGTGATCCACCCAGCTTGGTCTCCCAAAGTGCTGGGATTACAGGCGTGAGCCACCGTGCCGCTGGCAGGAGAAAATCCTTTACTGTGTTAAGTTAGTAAAGAATGTGCTTCATGAATACCCTACTCTTCCCACCTGTAGCTCTGGCTACAGGGGGTCCTTCCTGCCCTGGAAGGTTTTCACAGGACATTCTGTGCATTCTATGACCGAGTGAAGCCCACAGCTCTCCTTCTTTTCCTCCAGCCCTCTTGCTCCATTTCCATTCCCAACAGACTGTTTTTCTTTATCAGAGTCCCTAAATTTCCTCACCCATAAAACTGAGATGGTGGTGTCTGCTTGCAGGGCAGTTCTCATACAGGACTGTGTGGGATGGCAATGGTGGATGTGCCTGGCACGGTGTCAGGCACAGTGGAAAAGGCCCTAAGTGAATGTTGTGTGATAATTTCCTAGGAGTCCTCACTCTTGTGGACACTGCATTCCCAGGCTCCCTTGCCAATTGTCTTAGGCCGGGGCCAGCCGCTGGGAGATGCATGTGGGAGACTGGTGGCTTGGGGGAGGGAGAAACCAGGGTATTTCTCCCTTTCTCCCTCTGCCTGGGGTGGGACGGCAACTAATTCTCCTCTGAATACTGGTTCCCAGTAGGACAGCCCCTCTCTCTGTGGCTGCAGTGCCCACCAGGTGGCCCTCATCACGACCTTGGTTCCCACAGATGGCTCCAGCTGCTGGGCTCCACTTCCACCTCTACCCTAGAGGCAAGAGAGGCTTCCTGTCCTTCCTGTTGCTGATCTCCCAGTTCCCTCCCCACTTCCTGCTTGGTTTCCCAGCTCTTCCATTCCTGTGTAATAAGTCCTTGTACTGAATTCTGTCTGCTTCTGCCTGGGCTGTGGCTGATACACACGGTAATTGTTCAGACTAAGCTATGCAGTAAAGAGGTGACTCAGCAGGCTTGTGACGCTCAAACCCTGCACATCCCAAAGACCGGCTCCTGGAAGATAACCTATAAACAGTTGAAATATCCTGCCTGATGGAGTGGCTTTGCATACCTGGGGCCTTGGGCCCTGCCAGATACTTGTGCTAAAAATGTGCTTCGGGGTGAATGTCCGTTTCTGTTTGCTTCGGGTCTTGGGCCACACTGAGTTTGACGTGGTTGCAGGGTCATGCTGGAGACTAAGATCAAGCAGGTTGGTGCTCCATGGCCGTGTGACTGACCCTCAATAAAAAACCTGCACACTGAGGCTTGGGTGAGCTTCCCTGTTGTCAACACTCCCTGCAGGCTACCACGCATCCTTACGGGAGAATGAAGCACGGTCCCTACAACTCTTCCGGTAAGGCCACATGGAAACTCGCACCTGCTCTCTCCCAGATTCTGCCCTAAACACGTTTTCCTGTGCTGATTTTAATCTGTATCCTTTTGCTGTAATAAACTATAACCATGAGTATAGCAGCTTTTCTGAGTTCTATGAGTCCCCCTAGCAAATCACTGAACCTGGGACCCCCCCACACACCAGTTAAAAAGGACACTTTTTGGGCCTGGCGCGGTGGCTCACGCCTGTAATCCCGGCACTCTGGGAGGCCGAGGCGGGCGGATCACAAGGTCAGGAGATGGATACCATCCTGGCTAATACAGTAAAACCCCGTCTCTACTAAAAATACAAAAAATTAGCTGGGCGTGGTGGCGGGTGCCTGTAGTCCCAGCTACTCCGGAGGCTGAGGCAGGAGAGTGGCGTGAACCCGGGAGACGGAGCTTGCAGTGAGTCGAGATTGTGCCACTGCACTCCAGCCTGGGCAACAGAGCAAGACTCTGTCTCAAAAAAAAAAAAAAAAAAAAAGGACGCTTTTTCTTTTACAGACAAAATGTCGAGAGTCCCCAGAACTTAAGTAACTTTCCTGAACTGAATGCAGGTTCTTGAATTTAAAGCCCTGTCTCTTGCTGCCCTGCCCACTGACTCTCACAAGGATAGGGCAGGCAGTGAGAATGTGGAAGCAGAAAGACCACATGACTGACAGTTTAAAGTATAGTCATGTGTCACTTAACGGTGAGGATATGTTCCGAGAAATGCCTCCTTAGGCAATTCTGTTGTGTGCACATCACAGAGTACACTTACACAAACCTAGATGGAAGAGCCTACTGCACACCTAGGCTGAATGGGACCAGCCTGGCCAACATGTTGAAACCTCAACTCTACTAAAAATACAAAAATTAGCCAGGCTTGGTGGCATGTGCCTGTAATCTCAGCTACTTGGGAGGCTGAGGCAGGAGAATCACTTGAACCTGGGTGGTGGAGGTTGCAGTGAGCCGAGATCACCCCACTGCACTCCAGCCTGGGCGACAGAGCAAGACTGACTCAATTTAAAAAAAAAAAGATAAAAATGGTGCATCTCTATAGGGCGTTTACCATGCCTGGAGCTTGTGGGACTGGAAGTTGCTCTGGTGAGTCATTGAGTGAGTGGTGAGTGAATGTGAAGGTCGAGGGCATGACTATGCCCTATGGCAGACTTCATAAACGTTGTATACTTAGGCTGCACAAATTTATAAAATATATTTTTCTTTCTTCAATAGCAAATTATGCTTAGCTTATTATAACTTTTTTACTTTATAAACTTTTAAATGTTTTTAATTTTTTGACTCTTTAGACACTTAGCTTAAGACAAACACATTGTACAGCTGTACAAAATTATTTTCTTTTCCTTCTTTTTTTTTTGTAGACATGGGGTCTCCCTATGTTGCCCAATTTATTTATGTCCTTATTCTTTTTTTTTTTTTTTTGAGACAGAGTCTTGCTCTGTCACCCAGGCTGGAGTGCAGTGGCTCAATCTCGGCTCACTGCAATCTCCGCCTCCTGGGTTCACACCATTCTCCTGCCTCAGCCTCCCGAGTAGCTGGGACTACAGGCGACCGCCACCACGCCCAAGATTGAGCCACTTCATTCCAGCCTGGGCAACTCCATCTTAAAAACAACAAAAAAAGTAAATACATACACCAGTAACAATTGTTTATGGTCACTACCAAGTATTATGTACTGTGCTTTTCTATGACTGGCAGCACAGTAGGTGTGTTTACACTAGTATCACCACAAAAACATGAGTAATGCATTGCACTATGACTTTAAGACAGCTACAGCATCACTAGGTGGTGGGAATTTTTCAGCGCCATTGTAATCTTGTGGGCCACTGTTGCATATGCGATCCATCATTGATCAAAATGTTGTTACATGGCTCATGACTGTAGGTGGCTATTAAGGCTCCTTCTGGCTGCAACGGCCTATAAACCCGGCAGTCAATAAGCACTTGTTGAACTCTTAGACTGAGCAATTAATTGCTCACCAGGGGTGCCTGGAGGTTTGTGTGCACAAGGCCATCCAGGCTGCAGAGTGGAGGGAAGACTGGAGAGGGGTAGAGGGGGTGGAGGCTGCTTCAGGAGCCCAGGGAGGCAGACTGGGACCAGGGTGGCACAGGGTGGGAGGGTCAGGATGGATCCTAGTGACCGTGCAGGAAATGGGCTACGGAACACCTCTCCTGGGAAGCTTGTTCCCCCAACCTGGTGCTGTCCGAGGTTTATCCATTTCAATCAATGATGTTGGCTTATTAAAGCCAGGAACAGAGGTGTCACCTTGGATCCCTTCCACTGTCTTGCTTTACCCACCCATGTCAATTCTACTTCCAGATAGATCTGACAAGGGTCCTCTTTCCTCCCTCTCCACCCTGCTCCACCTTAGTCCAAACCATTTGCCACTTTTCGTCTTTGCACTGGTCGATCTCCCCGCCTTCTCATTCCTCAGGTTTCATCTGCTACGTGGCCTCCTAACAGAAGGCTTCTCTGCCCATCCCCATGACAGGAGGTCCTCTCTTGATCTCTGTCACAGCTTCCTCTTTTACCCCTTATGAGTTTGCTTACTTTCTCTAATAATAACTAGCATTTATTGAGCACCTACTGTGTGCCCGATGCAGTTCTAAGCACATTGCATTATAGTAACCCATTTAGTGCTTATTTACCCAACTCTGTTGTATAAATTTTTTTTTTTTGAGATGGAGACTTGCTCTGTTGCCCAGGCTGGAGTGCAGTGGTGCGATCTCGGCTCACTAAAACCTCTGCCTCCCAGGTTCACACCATTCTTTTGCCTCAGCCTCCCAAGTAGCTGGGACTACAGGCACCCACCAACATGCCTGGCTAATTTTTTTGTATTTTTAGTAGAGACAGTTTCACCGTGTTAGCCAGGATGGTCTTGATCTCCTGACCTCGTGATCCACCCACCTCGGCCTCCCAAAGTGCTGGGATTACAGGCTTGAGCCACCACGCCTGGCCTCCCTATTTAAAAATTTAAAAAATTTCTCTATTTAAAGTTAATTCCAAAGCTAAGGAAACTGGTTTAAAACTATCACCTCAGCTAGACTGTGGCCATTATGCGGGTAGAGATTTTGCCTGACTTGTTTATTTTTATTATATATATATATATTTTTTTTTTTTAGAAGGCGTCTTACTCTGTTGCTCAGGTTGGAGTGCAGTGGCACGATCTCGGCTCAACTGCAACCTCTGCCTGCTGGGTTCAAGCAATTTTCCTGTCTCAGCCTCCCGAGTAGCCGGGACTATAGGCGCACGCCACTATGCCTGGCTAATTTTTGTATTTTTAGTAGAGATGGGGTTTTGCCATGTTGGCCAGGCTGGTCTCGAACTCCTGACCTCAGGTGATCCACCCACCTCAACCTCCCAAAATGCTGGGATTACAGGCATGAGGCTCTGCACACAGGCTTGTTTCTGGTTTTATTTTTGTTTAATTTTTTTAAAGGAATCACTTCCTGGCTGGGAATTGAACCCAGACTGCTGCAGTGAAAGAGCATAATGTTAGCTACTGGCCCACAGCATGAGACTCCCGGTCCTGTTTGTTGCTCATCCCCAGATACGCAGCCTGGTCTACAGGAAGAATTCTATGTATATTTGCTGAAGAGACAAAGAAGGATGTGGATGAATTGGATGTGGAGAATGAGAGGAAAGAAAATGTCAAGGATGGCTCTAATTTCTGGCTTATGCAACTGAGTGGTGCCATTGAGAGAGGTGAGCTGGTCTGCAGGGACTTGGAACAGGTTGATGAGTCTGGTTAGGGAAACGTGGAGTTAGGAAATCAGTTCCTATGTTGTGCTGTGTTGGGAGCTCTGGGCTGGGTGGTGGATCTAGATTTAGGTGTCATCAGCACACCAGTGGTAGGTTGGTTGAAAGTGATTGAGATCACCCAGGGAAGCTTGCTGAGTGAGAAGAGGAAGTCTAGGGCTGAGCCGTAAGCAAATGCCAACATCCAATGGGCAGCAGGAAGGACCCTGCAAAACAGTGTGAGATGCAGCAGGCAAAAAAGGGAAGTGAGAAACCAGGGCAGGTGACCTCCGGAAGCCGAGGAAAAGAGAAGAGGGTACCATGTGGTACTTGTAAGCATCACAGGGCTGGAGCAAGCTTTTTTTTTTTTTTTTTTTTTTTCCTTCTCTTTGGTCTGCATCATCTTGGCATGCACAATTTCTTTTCTTTTTTTTTTTTTTTTGAGACGGAGTCTTGCGCTGTCGCCCAGGCTGGAGTGCAGTGGCATGATCTCAGCTCACTGCAACCTCCGCCTCCTGGCTTCAAGCAATTCTCCTGCCTCAGCCTCCTGAGTAGCTGGGATTGCAGGTGCATGCCACCACGCCTAGCTAATTTTTTTGTATTTTTAGTAGAGACAGGGTTTCACCGTGTTAGCCAGGATGTTCTCCATCTCCTGACCTTGTGATCTGCCTGCCTCGGCCTCCAAAGTGCTGGGATTACAGGCATGAGCCACCACACATGGCCGCAATTATTATTATTATTATTTTTGAGACAGAGTTTCGCTCTGTCGCCCAGGTTGGAGTACAGTAGAGCAGTCTTGGCTCACTGCAACCTCTGCCTGTCAGGTTCAAGCGATTCTCCTGCCTCAATCTCCCAAGTAGCTGGGACTACAGGCATGCGCCACCACGCCTGGCTAATTTTTGTATTTTGAGTGCAGACAAGGTTTCACCATGTTGGTCAGGCTGTTCTCTGAACTCCTGACCTCAAGTGATATGCCTGCCTTGGCCTCCCAAAGTGCTGGAATTATATGTGTGAGCCACCATGCCTGGCCTGCATGCACAATATTTTAAAACATGTTGAGTCTGTTGCCAAAAATTTAAAAATCAGAGTATTTCTTTTGAAATCTCCATTTCCAGTTTCTCTGGAAAAATCTCAAGATTGGCCATTCTGGGCCTGAATTCCTGCATACCAACAGCCAGGTGCAGTGACTCACAGCCGTCCCGTTACCTGAGGTGTGCACTCTCCTATTTGCCTCAGTCCCTACCTCTCTCTATCGTATCCCTGCCACCAGAGGCCTAACAGATATTATTCACCATCTCTCTTGCATTACTGCTTTTCTTCTAGTAAAGTTAAGAGAAGGGAGAGGACTTCTTAAGTTTATGTTACTGTTGAAAGTGAGAAAATGGTACACCCCTATAGTCCCAGCTACTACAGAGGAGGATCCTTGAGCCTGGGGGTTGGAGGCTGCTGTGCCCTATGATAGTGCCTGTTAATAGCACTCCAGCCTGGGCAACATAGCAAGATCTTGATTCTTACAAAAGAGACAGAAAAAAAAAAATAAAGTGGGAAAATGAAAGATAGACAGAGACAGTAAGTATCTCTTGAAAAATAGGAGGAAGCATATTTCTTTTTTTGTCATTGTTGTTGTTGTTGTTTGAGATAGGGTCTTTGTCACCCAGGCTGGAGTGCAGTGGGGTGATGACGGCTCACTGTACTCTTGACCTTCCAGGCTCAGATGATCGTCCTACCTCAGCCTCTTAAAAAGCGTATTTCTTAATGAATATGAATAATACTTCTATATTTTACTCACTTGCCTTCTCTGCTTAAGATAGTTCTTTTTTTTTTAAAAGCTTATAAATAACACAAATTTATTTCTCACAGTTCTAGAGGTTGGAAGTCCACAGATTCACTGTCTGGTGAGGGCCTGTTTCCTGGTTTGTAGATGGTATCTTCTTGCTGGGTCCTTACACTGTGGAAAGGCTGAGAGATTTCCAGTGATCTCTGCCTCCTGGGGTTTATGGCCTGTGTCAACTCCTCCCTTTGAAAGTGGGCTGGACCTAGTGACTTTATTCTACCCAATAGACTATGACTAAAGGTGATGGGATGCTCCTTTGTAATAAGGTTACCAAAAATTATTACTTCCCTCTGCCAGCAGACTCTCTCTCTTGCCTTCTTGGTTGGCACACTGGGGAGAAGCGAGCTGCAGCGTTGGAGAGGCCCATGTGGCAAGGGACTGAGAGCAGCCTCTGGCCAACAGCCGGTAAGCAACCAGTGAGCAACCGAGGCCCTCAGTCCCACAGCATGTGAGGAACTGAGTCCTGCCAATGATCATGTGATACTGAAGGAGGGTCTTTCTTTAGCTGATCCTACAGATGAGAATCTAGCCCTTGTGCTGCCTCATGAGAGACCCTGGAGCAGAGGCCCCAGCTGAGCTATGCCTGGATTCCTACCCACAGAAACTGGAAGACAATAAAAGTGTCGTTTATGTTTTTTTATTCTGGTAAAAATCATATAACATGAAATTTTTCCATTCTAACCATTAAAAACATGTCTTTTTGTGTGTGTGAGACAGGGTTTCGTTCTGTCACCCAGGCTAGAGTGCAGTGGTGCAATCTCGACTCACTGCAACCTCTGCCTTTCAGGCTCTAGTGATCTTCCCACCTGGTCAGCCTCCCAAGTAGCTGGGACTACAGGTGCGCACCACCATGCCCAGCTAGTTTTTGTTTGTATTTGTAGTAGATATGGGGTTTTGCCATTTTGCCTAGGCTGGTCTCGAACTCCTGGGCTCAAGCGATCCACCCTCAAAGTGCTGGGATTACAGGCATGAGCCACTGTGCCCAGCCTTATTTTTAAAATTTTTTAAAATTTTTTTATAGAGAGGGGTCTCAATATGTTGCCCAAGCTGGTCTCAAACTCCTGGCCTCAAGCCATGTTCTCAAGCTTCCTAAAGTGCTGGGATTACAGGTGTGAGCCACCATTTCTTTCTTTTTTTTTTTTTTTTGAGACGGAGTCTCACTCTGTCGCCCAGGCTGGAGTGCAGTAGCACCATCTCGGCTCACTGCAAGCTCCGCCTCCCAGGTTCATGTCGTTCTCCTGCCTCAGCCTCCTGAGTAGCTGGGACTACAGGTGCCTGCCACCATGCCCGGCTAATTTTTTGTATTTTTAGTAGAGACGGAGTTTCACCGTGTTAGCCAGGATGGTCTCAATCTCCTGACCTCGTGATCTGCCCGCCTCAGCCTCCCGAAGTGCTGAGATTACAGGCGTGAGCCACCACGCCTGGCCCATGCCTGGCCATTTCTAACCATTTCTTTTTGTTTATTTGAGACAGCATTTCACTCTGTCGCCCAGGCTGGAGTGCAATGGCAATATATCGGCTCACTGCAACCTCCACCTCCCGGGTTCAAGCAATTCTCCTGCCTCAGCCGCCTGAGTAGCTGGGACTACAAGCGCATGCCACCACGCCTGGCTAATTTTTTGTATTTTTAGTAGAGACGGCGTTTCACCGTGTTAGCCAGGATGGTCTTGATCTCCTGACCTCGTGATCTGCCGCCTTGGCCTCCCCAAGTGCTGGGATTACAGGTGTAAGCAACTGTGCCTGGCCCATTTCTAACCATTTCTAAGAGTACACTTAGGCCACACATGGGGACTCATGCCTGTAATCCCAGCACTTTGGGAGGCGAAAGCAGACGGATTGCTTGAGCCCAGGAGTTCAAGACCAGACTGGGCAATATAGCAAAACCTTGTTTCTACAAAAAAAAAAAAAAACGAAAATGAAAATTAGCTTCACATGGCGACCCACACCTATAGTCCCAGCTACTTGGGAGGCTGAGGTGGAAGGATCACTTAGGCCCAGAGGCAGAGGTTGCAGTGAGCCGAGATCATGCCACTGCACTCCAACCTGGGTGACCAGAGTGAACTTTGTCTCAAAAAAAAGTACACTTCAGCAGCATTAGCTATGTTCACATTGTGGTATAAGAGATCTTAGAACTTTTTCATCTTGCAAACTGAAAGTATATACTCATCAACAATTTCCATTTCCCTCCCTAAGCCCCTGGCAACTACCATTCTGCTGTTTCTTTGAGTGTGACTACTTTAGGTACTCAAATAAATGGAATCATACAGTATTTGTCTTTTTTTTTTTTTTTTGAAATGGAGTCTCGCTCTGTCGCCCAGGCTGGAGTGCAGTGGCACGGTTTTGGCTCACTGCACTCCGCCTCCTGGGTTCACGGCATTCTCCTGCCTCAGCCTCCCAAGTAGCTGGGACTACAGGCGCCCACCACCACGCATGGCTAATTTTTGTATTTTTTTTTTTAGTAGAGATGGGGTTTCACCGTGTTAGCCAGGATGGTCTCTATCTCCTGACCTTGTGATCCGCCCACCTCGGCCTCCCAAAGTGCTGGGATTACAGGCATGAGCTACTGCGCCCGCCCGTATTTGTCTTTTTATGGCTGGCTTATTTACTTAACATAACATCCTCAAGTTTCATCCATATTGTAGTAAGTGAATGATTTCCTTCTTTTTAAGGCTAAATAATATTCCATCATATGCCATATTTTTCTTATCCATGTATCCTTCAATGGACACTTGTGTTGCTTCCACATTTTGGCTATTGTGAATAATGTGGCAATGAATGTGAGTATGCAAATATTCTCACTGACATCCTGCTTTCCATTCTTTTGGGTATATATCCACAAGTGGGATTGCTGAATTACATTATAATCCAATGTTTATTTTTTTTAGGAGCTGCCCTACAATTTTCCACAGCAGTTGTACCATTTTATATACCCTTCAACAGTGTAAAGGGAAGGCCAGGTATGGTGGCTCACGCCTGTAATCCCAGCACTTTGGGAGGCCGAGGCGGGTGGATCACCTGAGGTCAGGAGTTCAAGACCAGCTTGGCCAACATGGTGAAACACCGTCTCTACTAAAATACAAAAATTAGCCAGGCATGGTGGTGGGCACCTGTAATCCCAGCTACTCGGGAGGCTGAGGCATGAGAATCGCTTGAACCCAGGAGGTGGAGGTTGCAGTAAGCTGAGATTGCGCCATTGCACTCCAGCCTGGACAACAGAGTGAGACTGTCTCAAACAAAACAAAACAAAACAAAACAAAACAAAACAAAACAGTGTAAAGGGTTCCAATGTCTCTACATCCTCACTAACAATTGCTATCTTCTGTTTTTTTGGTAGTGGCCATCCTAATGGGCACAAGGTAGCATCTCGTTAAATGTGCAGGGATTTTTGTAGGGTTTATTTGTGTGTGTTTTTTTTTGAGGCAGGGTCTGTCTGTCTCCCAGGCTGGAGTGCAGTTGTACAATCATAGCTCACTGCAGTCTCTACCTTCTGGGCTCAAGCAGTCCTCCTGCCTCAGCTTCTCAAGTAGTTGGGACCACAGGCGTGCACCACCCTGCTCAGTAATTTTTTACATTTTTTGTGTATAGATGGGGTCTCACTATGTTGCCCTTCCTGCTCTCAAACTCCTGGTGTCAAGCGATTCTCCCTCTCATCTTGTCCCCACAAGCGCTGGGATTACAGGCGTGAGCAACCACACCCAGCCCCAGCTTTCTCTTTGTGATGACTCTGGGGGAACTTTGTTTCACTTCTCTTGCTCAACCTTTCAGCAACATTTGAAACCAATGACCACTCCCTTCTTGGAATTCACCAAAGGAAATGGTATGTTACTTATCTATTGCTACTTAAAAATGATCTCAAAACTTAGCTGCTTAAAACAACACATGGTTGGGCACAGTGGCTCATGTCTGTAATCCCAGCATTTTCAGGGGCCAAGGTGGGAGGATTAATTGAGCCCAGGAATTTGTGACCAGCCTGGGCAACATAGCAAGACCCCATCTCTACAAAAAATACAAAAATTAGCCGGGTATGGTGGTGTGCGCCTGTGGTCCCAGCTACTCGGAAGGCTGGGGTGGGAGGGTCGCTTGAGCCTAGGAGTTCGAGGTTGCAGTGAAACATGATTGAGTCACTGCACTCCAGCCTGGGTGACAGATCCAGACCTTGTCTCAGTAAATAAATAAATAAGATAAAATATAAAAGAGAAGGCTAGGGACATTGGGTAGAGCAGATCCTAGTGGAGAAGTGGGGGTAGTGGCTGGCCTAGAAGAGAAGAGGCAAAGACAGGGAGTGAGTAAGGGCCACTCTTTTTAAGGAGCCATCTCTAGATTTTTATGGGTTGTCTATATTCTTTCCTGCGAAGGAGAGAGAAATGAGGAGTAGGAGATGGTGAGAGAGAGGGTTTTGTTTTCTTTTTATTTTTACGTTGGGAAAGAAACACCTCTGGCAGGGCACGGACCACAGCCCAGGCTGGATGGCTCCGGAGCTTGCACGTTACCCAGGATGCACTGCTGGCTTGCCTAGTTCTGAAGTAAAATAATGACTAATATAAACCAGCAATATCCTGATATTTTTTCCTGATGACTACTTTGAGTCTTTTTTGGGGAGTAAATATCAAATATTTAATTATTTCAGGTATTCTCCCTCCCTTCCTTGCTCTCTCGCCTTGGTGCCCCTGCTTGACTGGGGTGCAAATACTTGTTTACTGTGTCTCTTGGGCAATCCAGCTCTGTGCTCTTCCTCCCCTACCCACCAACTCCTGTTTAGGGCTCTTCCAGCCAAGCTCACATATAGTAGGTCCCCAGTGACATGTTTTGCATGAGAAAACAGTCATCCAATGGCTGCACTTCCTGGGGACTTCTAAGCTCAAGGCCCTTCCCAAATTGCTCCATAAACACCCTTCAGGGAGCTGATGGAATGGGATCGGGGCAAGGCGTAGCGAAGTGGGCAGTCCTTGCACAACAAATGCACGTTGCTTTATTCACACGAAGTGATTTGTGTACACTCCATGATCAGGGAGATTTTAGCTATTATGGAAAGGCAGACTTGTTCCAGGAGATTTTGACTACAAAATGTTATGGACCCAGGTACAACCCAATGTTTACTGTGCCCACGTTATGATGGTTTGAACAAGGAAGTGCCACTGAGGGGTTGGGGTGGGGGGCATAGGCCTGGAAGACCTCATCATAGACACTCCCTTTTGGTTTTTTGGACTGTCATTATTCTCAGTCTGCTGGTGGGTGGAGATGTTCCAAACCCTTCCTATTAATTGTCACCAGCTCCTGGTGAGTCACTAATAGCTATTCCACCACACCAGCCCTCCGGTCCTCCTGGAGGGTGGGGAGAGCTTGCAGACGGCTGCTTTTCCTACTCTACAGTGGCAGGAAAGCTGGCTCTTAGGAACCTAGAGGCTTTGCTGCAGGCCTCTTCAGCTTACAGTCACACACTCAGAAGAGCAGGATGGTGTTAATTTGCTTCAGAACTTAGGATCCATAAGAAGCTGGGTAGGTAGAGTGCCCTCAGATCCCCAGACCAGGGCTCTTTCAACTTTATCACATGAAAAGAAACTCAACCATTTGCACACAGATATTGATTAGGCTTTAGATGTTACATTATGTTTTTCTTCTTAGTAAACCCTTAAGTGATCAATGTAAAGTGATCTGGAGTGCAGCAGCAGGATCACAGTTTACTGCAGCCTTGAATTACTGTGCTCAAGTGGTCCTCCCACCTCAGCCTCCCAAGTAGGTGGACTACAGGCACATGCCACCACACTTGGCTAATTTTTAAAATTTTTGTATGAATGGGTTCTTGCCATCTTGCCTAGGCTGGTCTTGAACTCCTGGGCTCAAGCGATCCTCCTGCCTTGGCCCCCCAAAGTGCTGGGATTATAGGCATGAGCCACTGCAACCAGCCTGGAATTTCTTTCTTTTTTTTTTTTTTTTTGAGATTGAGTCTCGCTCTGTTGCCCAGGCTGGAGTGCAGTGGTGCGATCTCGGCTCACTGCAAGCTCTGCCTCCCGGGTTCACGCCATTCTCCTGCCTCAGTCTCCTGAGTAGCTGGGACTACAGGCGCCCGCCACCATGCCCAGCTAATTTTTTTGTATTTTTAGTAGAAACAGGGTTTCACCGTGTTCGCCAGGATGGTCTCCATCTCCTGACCTCGTGATCTGCCCGCCTTGGCCTCCCAAAGTGCTGGGATTACAGGCGTGAGCCACCGTGCCCGGCCCCAGCCTGGAATTTCTTATTGCAGAAAAAGAGCAAACCTGGAGTTGCTCAGACCAGGGGGCTGGAATCTTGGTTCTGGTATTCATTCATTTAACTGATATGTACTGAGTACCTATTTTGTGCCATGCCCTGTGGATATGGCAGACAAGGAACTTACATTCCAAAGGTAAACAGAAGATGATAAAAAACAAATGCTGACTTTGGGAGGACAAGGCGGGTGGATCGCCTGAGGTCGGGAGTTTGAGACCAGCCTGACCAACATGGAGAAACCCCGTCTCTACTAAAATTAGCTGGGCATGGTGGTGGTGCATGCCTGTAATCCCAGCTACTTGGGAAGCTGAGGCAGAATTGCTTCAACCTGGGAGGCGGAGGTTGTGGTGAGCTGAGATCGCACCATTGCACTCCAGCCTGGGCAACAAGAGAGAAACTCTGACTCAAAATAATAATAATAATAATAATTATTATTATTATTATTAGCGGAGCATGATGGAGCATGCCTGTAATCCTGGGGAGGCTGAGGCATGAGACTCTCTTGAACCCGGGAGGTAGAGGTTGCAGTGAGCCGAGACTGGGCCACTGCTCTCCAGCCTGGGCAACAGAATGAGACACCATCTCAAAAACAAACAAACAAACAAAAAACAAGTGCAGTTAATTTTATGTGTCCACTTGACTGGGAGTCAGATGCCTAGATATTTGATCAAACATTATTCAGGGCAGGGCATGGTGGCTCATGCCTGCAATCTCAGTGTTTTGGGATGCCAAGGCAGGAGGATGGCTTGAGGCCAGGAGTTCAAGACTATCCTGGGCAACATAACAAAATCCTATCTTTACAAAAAAATGGAAGAAAAAAACATTAGCCAGGTATGGTGGCATGCAACTGTGGTCCTAGCTACTTTGGAGGCTGAGGTGTGAGGATTGCCTGAGCCCAGGAAGTTGAAGTTGCAGTGAGCCGTGATACTGCCACATGGACGGCACTTTAGCCTGGGTGACAGAACTAGACCCTGTCTCTAAACACACACACACACACACATGCACACACACACGCGCGTGCACAATGACAACAACAAAACCACACACACATTATTCTAGATATTTGTGTGAGGGTGTTTTTGGATGAGACAAACATTGAAATCAGTGGACTGAGTAAAGCAAACTGGACTTCTGTAACATGGGTGGGCTTCATCCAGTCAGTTTCAGAGAAGTATCATGGTTGTCCAATAAACAGATAAAAGATTTTCAGCTTCTGGAAAAGCAAATTAGGCCCTAGTGAGATACCATTTAGATCCACTAGATCGGCAAAAAGTGAGTTTAATCATACCAAATTGGAGTGGATGTGGATCCATGGTGGGAGTATGATTGGTGGAAACGCTTTGGAAAACAATTGTTCATCCTGTAAAGTTGAACAGCCTAGGCATTTCCCCTCCTTGGTGTGTATCCAAGAGGCAATCCTGCATATATGCATGAGAACACAGGCACAAGAACATTTATAACAGCATTTTTTTAGTAATAAAAAAACTAGAAACCATGTAAATGCTCAGCAAGAAGAAAATTGGTAAGAACATTGTGGTATATTCACCCTAGAATATTATATAGTAGTGAAAAAGATAATGGTGATTACATCAAGTCCTAGAATACTACCTATGGTATGATACCATTTTTATAAAGCTCAAAAACTACTAAACTCATTGTTTAAGCGTGTCTATATATGTATTTTTTTTTTCAAAAGGGAGGGAGACAATATGTTAAAATTTCAAGATGGTAGAGTTACTCTGGGGTGGGCAGGGCATGATGGCATAGGGGAGAAGCTCTGGTTATTGGTAACGTTCCGGATTGGCATTTGGGAGGTGAGTTCGTGGGTGTTCATGGCATCATTATGGTCTAAAACTTACACATGTTGACATATATTCCTTCGTTTGAATGAAGCATAAATAAAAAATGTACAAAGGAAAAAAGAAATGGCTGATTTTCTGCTTGTTACTTTGCTGCATGTTCCTAAAGCTCCCTCCCTCCAAAATATATGTTTTTTTCCTGATAAGAGAAAAATGAAATATATTAAGTAATCTCTTTTTTTTTTTTGAGACGGAGTCTCGCTATGTCACCTAGGCTGGAGTGCAATGGCGTGATCTTGGCTTACTGCAACTTCCGCCTCCCAGGTTCTAGCAATTCTCCTGCCTCAGCCTCCTGAGTAGCTGAGACTATAGGCGTGCACCACCATGGCCAGTTAATTTTTGTATTTTTAGTAGAGACAGGGTTTCACTATGTTGGCCAGGCTGGTCTCGAACTCCTGACTGCAGGTGACTTCTTGCCTCGGCCTCTCAAAGTGCTGGGATGACAGGCGTGAGCCACTGCACCTGGCCTATATTAAGTAATCTTGGAAATGCCTCTTGCTAAATTCAGGAATCATTACCAGTAGAATTGTGTTAGCATGCTCAGAGAAATGGTGTAATAGGTTGGGCTTGGTGGCTCATGCCTGTAATCCCAACACTTTGGGAGGCTGAGGGGGGAGGATCACGTGAGCCCAGGAGTTTGATACCAGCCTGGGCAACATGGTGAGACCCTGTCTCTATTTTATTATTTTTATTTATTTATTTATTTATTTTTTTGAGACGGAGTTTCTCTCTCGTCACCCAGGCTGGAGTGCAATGGCACAATCTCCACTCACTGCAACCTCTACCACCCGGGTTCAAGCGATTCTCCTGCCTCAGCCTCCCGAGTAGCTGAGATCACAGACGCTCACCACCATGCCTGGCTAATTTTTGTATTTTTAGTAGAGACAGGGTTTTACCATGTTGGCCAGGCTGGTCTCAAACTCCTGACCTCATGTGATCCACCTGCCTCAGCTCCCCAAAGTGCTGGGATACAGGTGTGAGCCACCGTGCCCGGCCCGTCTCCATTGTTTTTTTTTTTTTTTTTGAGACAGAGTCTCACTCTGTCGCCCAGGTTGGAGTGCAGTGGTGCGATCTCCACTCACTGCAACCTCCGCCTCCTGGGTTGAAGTGATTCTCCGGTCTCAGCCTCCCGAGTAGCTGGGATTATAGGCGTGCACCACCATGCCTAGCTAATTTTTGTATTTTTAGTAGAGATGGGGTTTCACCATGTTGGTCAGCCTGGTCTCGAACTCCTAACCTCAGGTGATCCGTCTGCCCTGGTCTCCCGAAGTGCTGGGATTACAGGCATGAGCCACTGCACCCAGGCCCCTGTCTCTATTTTTAAAAATAAATAAATAAGGCTGGGAGTGGTGGCTGACGCCTGTAATCCCAGCACTATCCGAGTCAGAGGTGGGCAGATCACAAGGTCAAGAGGTCAAGACCCCTGGCCAACCAACATGGTGAAACCCTGTCTCTACTAAAAATACAAAAATTAGCTGGGTGTAGTGGTGCACGCCTGTAGTCCCAGCTACTCAGGAGGCTGAGGCAGGAGAATCGCTTGAACCCAGGAAGGCACGGGTTGCAGTGAACTGAGATCGTGGCACTGCACTCCAGCCCGGGCGACAGAGCGAGACTCCGTCTCAAAAATAAATAAATAAAACATAATAAAAATAAATAAATACATACATACATAAAAAGGGTAAAAAGAAAAATGGCATAAGGAAAACATGTTTATGAAGCTGATGGGACACCCCGGGTTGTCTAATAACCGTGTGTCCAGGTCAAACCTTGATTTTACCCCGAGCTCTCCTTTTAGTTGATGGCTTGTGATTCAGGGTAAGTAGCAGTCTGTGGAAACCCAGGAAACTGGTTTGATTCCCAGCTGTGTCATTCAGTTGGCATGTGTCCTTCATCAATGTACATAATGTCTGAGATTCAGGTTTGTGCCAGTGAAGTCAGCATGATGTTTACTTTGAACTTTCATTAGGTGGGCTCAGGATAAAATACATGAAGTGCTTCTCGCCTGGTGAGTCCTTGATAAACGCTAGCACTTGTATTGTGGTCCTCCTGCCCCAATAATGATCACACCTTAGCACAATGTTGCCCTTCACAGTTTGCAAAGGCGGGGGCGCTTATATTCATGATCTCATCCTAAAAAAGTCTAATTTTTGTTAACAACAGCTCATATGTATAGAGTACTTGCTATTTTTACAAGTATTATGTAACAGTGGGTGCTCAACAAATGCCGAATGAGTGAGGGCATAGTTTCAAAAGTGGGCGTGGGTGGACAAGAAAACAGGTGACTTACTGGAAAACTCATTTTATGAGGCTGGAAGCTGCCTCTAAAGCAAGGGTAGTCCTGAGTCTCCCTGTTATATTGAAGGGAGTTAGTCCCCGGACTCTGAAACTGCCCTGGGTCACCCTAGTGGACAGACAGGGCCTGGCATGGGGGCTTCAAGCCTCTTCCAGCTGTGCCGTCGCTAAAAAACTAGAGGTAAAATTAAAGAGTTGGTGCCACCTAGAGGGCAAGAGAGTGCATCTCAGAAGAGGGCTGCGGAAATCCTTAGAATATGGAAGGTGGTGGTGGTTATAAAGAATCATAAAAATAATCTCTATTGGCCTGGCATGGTGGCTCATGCCTGTAATCCCAACACTTTGGGAGGCCGAGGCGGGAGGATCACTTGAGGTCAGGAGTTCAAGACCAGCCTGGCCAACATGGTGAAACCCCGTCTCCACCAAAAATACAAAAATTAGCTGAGTCTGGTGGCACACGCCTGTAGTCCCAGCTACTAGGGAGGCTGAGGCATGAGAATCGCTTGAACCTGGGAGGCAGAGGTTGCAGTGAGCTGAGATTGCACCACTGCACTCCAGCCTGGGTGACAGAGCTACACTCTGTCTAAAAAAAAAAAAAAAAAGAAGAAGGGGTCTAGACTTAAATAACTCATACAACTCTAAATAAAAAGATAAAATAATTTTAAAACGAGCAAGGGATATGAACAGCTATTTTTTCAAAGAAGATGTACAAATGACCAATAAGCACATGAAAAGATGCTCAACATCAGTAGCCATCAGGAAAGTGCAAATTGAAACCTCTTCACACCCACTAGCATGGCTATAATCAAAAAGACAGTAACAAGTGTTGACAAGGATATGAAGAAATTGAAACCCCCATACACTGCTGGTGGGAATGTAAAATGGTGCAGCTGCTTTGGAAAAGCAGTTAGACAGTTCTCAAAAAGTTAAACATAGTTACCATATGACCTAGTAATACCACTCTTAGGTATAGACCCAAGAGAAGTTAAAACATAGGGTTGCACAAAAGCTTGTACATTAATGTTCACAGCATTCACAGCTTTGTTCACAAGAGCTAGACTGGAAACAAGCCAAATGTCCATCAACTGATTAACAAACAAAATATAGTAAATCCATAAAATGGAATATTATCCAGCTACAAAAGGAATGAAGTACTGATTCATGCTATAACATGTCTTGAAAACATGCTAAATGAAAGAAGCAAAACACACAAAAGACTACATAGCATATGATTCTGTTTATATGAAATATCCAGAACATGCAAATCTATAGACAGAAAGTAGATTAGTGGTTGCCAGGGGCTGGGCAGATGGGCAAATGGAAAGTGACTGCTAATGAATAGCTTTCTTTTTGGGATGATGAAAATGTTCTCCAATTAGTGCGGACAGGTACATAAACTTTTTTTAATATACTAAAACCCACTGAATTGTACACCTATTTATATATGCATGTGTGTGTGTGTGTGTGTGTGTGTGTATATATATATATATGTATATACACTTTTTTTTTTTGAGACAGAGTCTCGCCCGTCACCCAGGCTGGAGTGCAATGGCACGATCTTGGCTCAGGGCAACCTCCACCTCCTGAGCAATTCTCCTGCCTCAGCCTCCCGAGTAGCTGGGATTACAGGCATCTGCCACCATGCCCAGTGAATTTTTATATTTTTAGTAGAGACGGGGTTTCACCATGTTGGTCAGGTTGGTCTCAAACTCTTGACCTCAGGTGATTCACCCTCCTCAGCCTCCCAAGTGCTGGAGGCGTGAGCCACCTCGCCTGGCCACCCCTATGTATTTTTTGAGACAGGGTCTTGCTCTGTTGCCCACGCTGGAAGTACAGAGGCATGATCATGGCTCACTGCAGCCTTGACCTCCCAGGCTTAAGCAATCCTCCCATCTCAGACTCCTGGAGTAGCTGAGACAAGATAAAAATCAGTTTAGTCCTCAGATGTACCATAACTTCCTTAATCATCCCTTTATTGATAGACATTTAGGGTGTTTACAATTATTTTGCTGCAAACTGCTGCAGCAGGCAACTTCATTTTCTTTTTTCTTTTTTTTGAGACAGTTTCGCTTTTGTTGCCCAGACTCCAGGCTGGAGTGCAACGGCGTGATCTCAGCTCACTGCAGCCTCCGCCTCCCAGGTTCAAACGATTCTCCTGCCTCAGCCTCCCGAGTAGCTGGGATTACAGGTATGCACCACCACGCCAGGCTAATTTTTTTTTTTTTTGTATTTAGTAGAGATGGGGTTTCACCATGTTGGTCAGGCTGCTCTCAAACTCCTGACCTCAGGTGATCCACCTGCCTCAGCCTTCCAAAGTGCTGGGATTACAGGCTTGAGACACTGCGCCCGGCCTCATTTTCTTCTTTTGAACAATTTCCTCCTGATTAGGGGTGGGGTTACCGATCAGACATTTTGAACATCTTTCTGACTCTTGACAATTTTGCATGTCACAAGATCTGTTGTCCTTGGCCCTAGCCTCTGCAAAGCCAGACCCTAAGGGCTGGCCCCTCTGACATCTCCCTTCCTCCAGCTTTGCGGTCACCCTTTTCACCTGGGGCCTCTGCCTCAGCCTCCTGCCTCTCCTCTCCACAGCCCACTCCTTCTCCTGCCCACAGGCCTGCGGGCTTCCCCTCCCCAGGCAAGCTGGGGCCGTGTCGCAGCGCTTGGCCATCACGACTTTGCCATTGCCAATGCAATCTGGCTCACTGGCATGCACTGTGCTTACCTTAGCCTCAGGGTGTCCTGCATAGGTCCCCAGGAAGATAAACCCTGGGTGATGTGTCATTTTCCCCTTTCCGTTCCTTCCCACGCCCTTCCCCCCACCTCCCCGCGTAGGCAGCGCATCTAGTTGGCACTCCATAAATATCCAAAGTATTTACAAAATAACGTAGAAGTTCTATGCTGTTTAGTTAGATCTCTTAAGGTTGATAATGTACAAGGCAATTTGCATCAGGAGCAGACGAGATAGGGCCCGGCAGATATAAATTAAAAATGCAATTGCACGCATTCATTCAACGAGAACTCACTGAGCAACTACTATGTGCCAACATTATCCACTGCAGTGAATAAAAGACAAACAAACAAGCAAATAACAAAAAAAAAAACAAAAGAGCAAGAAAGTGGCCGGGTGCAGTGGCTCACCGCTGTAATCCCAGCACTTTGGAAGGTCGAGAAAGGAGGATCGCTTGAGGCCACGAGTTCAAGACCAGACTGGGCAACATCATAGTGAGACCTCGTCTCTACAAAAATTAAAAAATTAGTCGGGGGTGGTGCGCCCAGCTCTACTCGGGAGGCTGAGGTGGGAGGATCGCTTGAGCCCAGGAACTGTAGGCTGCAGTGAGCCAGGATCGCACAACTGCACCACAGCCTGGGCAGCAGAACGAGAAATAAATAAACAAATAAAAGCCAGAAAGTAAAAATAAAGTGTTAGATGGCGATTCGAGCTGAGGAGGAAATCAGGCAGGGGAAAGAATCTGAAAGCGAGGAGTGAGTGGCTGGCAAGGCTCCTTCGGAAGGTGGCAATAACAGTCATAGACCGGTCACATCAATTGGGTGTTTACTGCGGGCCAGTGTGTGCCACCAACCTCACACCCGAAAGCCACAAAGACTCACGCCACAACGCAACGAGGCAGGGGCTCCTCCTCCTCCCTTGGTATACGGAAAGAAGCGTAGGGAGCAGAGTTGGGATGCTAGTCAGTACCCCCCTGCACCTAGCCCTTGCCCCTCCGTCTGGCTTTCCCCACTCCCGCTCCGGCGGAGCTAAGGTTAACATTAGACGAGGCTGTGGCTACCGGAAAGAGCGCAGGCGCAGAGCGCGGAATGCGCCTGCGCAGAGCGCTGGGCGACGTGGCCAGTCGGGGCCCGGAAGTGGTCCCTGTAGAACCACTGTGGCACCGCTACTCCGTGCCGCGCCCGTCGAGCATTGCGTTGCTGCATTGCGCCCCACCGACTCCACTATGTTGAAGAAATTCGACAAGAAGGATGAGGAGTCAGGTGAGGGGGCCAGGCCTGGGTCTGAGGGAGGCCGGACCCCCACCCGCCGAGCTTTCCTTCTGGTTCTCTGTCCTGACCCGGAGGCTGAGGCCCAGTGAGGGGCAGGGGCTTGTGCCAGGGTCCACAGCTAGTCAGTGGCAGGCCTCGGAGAGCCCGAGCATGCGCGGCTGTCTCACTCTTGTAAGCTCGGACTGCAATTTTCTGGGTGACCTTGGGCGCGACAAACACCCCCCCCCCCAGGCCTCAATTTACCCATCTGTCAAAGGAGGGGACCATGCCGAATGTTCTCTTGTTACTTTCTTCGTCCAACCTCTTGGGATTCGCTGGGGCTACGTTGGTGCTGGCCAAACTGGGGTGTAACCTGCGGAGCCAGCGTCCTGTGACTGGGAACTCTGACCCCATCATTCATTTATTCAGCAAAGTATATTGAGCAGTTACTGTATGCCAGGTACTGTACGGTGTCCTGGATACTGCAACAGAGCAAGTGGGACACTCAGTGCCTGAGCTAGGAATATTAGAATGGTTGCACCCACGATGGAGGAGGCAGACATCAACCAGATAATCACACGTGTAATTATTTGCAAATGTGTCATCTGCTATGAAGGAACTAGTTACAACGAGATGGTGGTCCCTGGCACATAGGGACTTAGTTAATTACAAGTTATATAAATGAACACAAGACATGGCACCATGAGAAGCACAGGACTGTACCAGGGCTGCTGGGAGATTGTGAGTGGTTTGGGGTAGAGTGGAGCCCACCTGCTTGCAGGAGACTAGTAGGATCCCTAGACAGATTGTAGAGGCTTGATTGCCATTCCTGAGGAGTTTGAACTTTACTAGATTTCCTAGGAAGGGACATCTTCCCTTTACCTATGTCTGGGAGAGTTTTGAAGTTCAGAGTCACAACCTACCTTCTCCATTGTCCTTGACCGTAGGTGGAGGCTCCAACCCATTCCAGCACCTTGAGAAGAGTGCGGTACTCCAGGAGGCAAGTGACATTTGCTCCCCTCTAGCTTCCATCATAAATATTCACCACCAATGCAACTGAAATACCAACACATTCAAAGTGTTGTTTTAAAGAGCAACACGGGAGAAAACTTGTGCCTGGAAGTTTTCTGGAAGACAGGAAAACTTTGTTTCTGGAGAGAGTTAGTTATGCTTACTTCTTTTTTTTTTTTTTTTTTTTTTTTTTTCTGAGACAGAGTCTTGCTCTGTCGCTCAGGCTGGAGTGCAGTGGCGTGATCTCGGCTCACTGCAAGCTCCGCCTTCCAGGTTCACGCCATTCTCCTGCCTCAGCCTCCCAAGTAGCTGGGACTACAGACGCCCGCCACCACACCCGGCTAATTTTTTGTATTTTTAGTAGAGACGGGGTTTCACCGCGTTAGCCAGGACGGTCTTGATCTCCTGACCTCGTGATCCACCCGCCTCGGCCTCCCAAAGTGCTGGGATTACAGGCTTGAGCCACCGCGCCTGGCCTCTCTATTTAAACATTTAAAAAATTTCTCTATTTAAAGTTAATTCCAAAGCTAAGGAAACTGGTTTAAAACTATCACCTAAGCTAGACTGTGGCCATTATGCAGGTAGAGATTTTGCATGACTTGTTTATTTTTATTATATATATTTTTTATATATATATATATATGTATTTTTTTTTAGAAGGCGTCTCACTCTGTTGCTCAGGCTGGAGTGCAGTGGCACGATCTCGGCTCAACTGCAACCTCTGCCTCCTGGGTTCAAGCAATTTTTCTGTCTCAGCCTCCCAAGTAGCCGGGACTACAGGCGCACGCCACTATGCCTGGCTGATTTTTATATTTTTAGTAGAGATGAGGTTTCACGATGTTGGCCAGGCAGGAGAATGGTGTGAATCCTGACCTCTTGATCCTCCCGCCTCGGCCTCCCAAAGTGCTGGGATTATAAGCGTGAGCCACCGCGCCCGGCCACTTCTCTTTTTTTTTTTGAGATGGAGACTTGCTGGTGTCAGCCTGGGGTGGAGTGCAATGGCATGATCTTGGCTTGCTGCAACCTCCGCCTCCTGGGTTCCAGCAATTCTCCTGCCTCGGCCTCCCGAGTAGCTGAGATTACAGGTGCCCACCACCATGCCTGGCTAAGTTTTGTATTTTTAGTACAGACGGGGTTTCACCATGTTGGCCAGGCTGGTCTCGAACTGACCTCAGGTGATCCACCCGCCTCGGCCTCCCAAAGTGCTAGGATTACAGGTGTGAGCTACTGCGTCCAGCCGCTTCTTTCTTTATTGTTGTCGTTCATTGTTTCTGTTTCCAGTTAGCAGATGGTTGCTAAGTATCTGCTAGTCAATAGGTTAGCACATCCCTAACTAATATTTACACGAGAGTCTAAGAATAATTAGTAGTTGATTAAAGAAAAACAAACCCTTTCCTTATGAAAATAAGCTTGTTGCATACCCAGAAAGCCCTGTTTAGACAAGTCAGTTTACCCTGAGACTTCTCAGACATTGAATATACTTGAAGGGAAATGAACTAGGCTAGAAGGTAACATCTTTGGTCATTTCTTCTTAGGCCCGTGTATTTAATGAAACTCCCATCAACCCTCGGAAATGTGCCCACATCCTCACCAAGATTCTTTATCTCATAAACCAGGTAACAGGGTGAAGCTTGCGGGTAGGGAGAATGGTGCTGGGGGATTGGAGGGGAGTGGACAAATCATGATCACTCTTAGGCTATTGGACAGCCTCTGTGTGGCTGTAGACAACAGCTCAGCTCTGGGTCCCCTCAGCATCCAAGTCTCATATGTTGCCCTTGAGCCTCTTTAGGGTCTGGGGATCTGGTGTGGGCTGATCCTGAAAGAACTGCTGTCTGACCCTCTGTCCCAAGCTGAGACTTCTTTCTTGATTAACACAGGGGGAGCACCTGGGGACCACGGAAGCGACCGAGGCCTTCTTTGCCATGACCAAGCTCTTTCAGTCCAATGATGTAAGTGCCTCAACCCAGCTTTCCTTGAGAGGTGGCAGCTGTAACAAGGTGGTGGGAGGGCCAAAGAGAGCTGGCCCCACCAGTCAGTGTGGGCTGCCTTTGTGGAGACAGGAGGTATCTTCTCCCAACTCTGGCCCTTGGTGAGCCCGGGCTGATAGGGCTTTTCCCACCTATCTCCCAGCCCACACTCCGTCGGATGTGCTACTTGACCATCAAGGAGATGTCTTGCATTGCAGAGGATGTCATCATTGTCACCAGCAGGCAAGTCATGGGGTTGTGGGTGGCTCTTCTGATGGGTTCCATTGACAGACCATTTTTTTCTTGTGTGTACCAGACAGTGAGACTTGGTTGCATATTGCCAGCTGCCCACCCCGTGGCAGCTTCCCTGTTACCACTGCCCACCCCATGGCAGCCTCCAGGTGTGCTGTTTCTATTTTAATTCTCTGACCTTGACTTGGACACAAATGCTTCCTTTTCTTGATTTCTCTTAGTCAACCAAACCAGCTTAGAACTTTCCCAAAGACTTTCTTGAGTATAAAGAGAGAACACAAGAAAAATAAACAAGAGAGTACAAGCGGTATACTGCTTACTAAGTGACTGGTGTCTGCTTTAAGCTAAGCAATTCAGGGACAGATGTGACTAAAGTGTAATCACTGCCCTTAAGAACTGGGGCTCAGTTCTCTTATTTCTTCCTGCCACAGTTTAAGGTTGTGGGGGTCATACATTGATTTGTAGGTTCAGTTAGAAAATATTGTCTGTCAGTCCCTGTGTGTAGCTCTGGGGATATAGCAACAAAAAAGATAGACATGGCCTCTGTAGCCCCAGAATTTACAGAGAAATAACCAGGCATCAGGCCATTAAGGTAGGGTGTAATATAGTTTATCACGGAAGTATTATGGGCTATGAGAGCAGACCAGAAGAGCATCCAGCTTGATTAGAATTACGAAAGTCCTCCCAGAGGAATGATCTAAGTGGAGTCCTGAAGGATGAGTAAGAAATAGTAGGACAGGACAGGCGCAGTGGCTCATGCCTGTAATCCCAGCACTGTATCCACAATGTAATCCACAGACTGCGATGGGTGGATCACTTGAGGTCAGGAGTTTGAGACCATCCTGGCCAACATGGTGAAACCCCGTTTCTACTAAAAATACAAAAATTAGCCAGGTGTGGTGGCGCACACCTATAATCCCAGCTACTGGGGAGGCTGAGGCAGGAGAATTGCTTGAACTGGGGAGGTGGAGGTTGCAGTGAGCTGAGATCATGCCACTTACACTCCAGCCTGGGTGACAGAACGAGACTGCGTCTCAAAAAAAAAAAAAAAAAGCCAGGAGTGATGGCTCATGCCTGTAATCCCAGCAGTTTGGGAGGCCGAGGCGGGTGGATCACAAGGTCGGGAGTTCAAGACCAGCCTGGCCAACATAGTGAAACCCCCTCTCTACTAAAAATACAAAAATTAGCCGGGTATGGTGGCATGTGCCTGTAGTCCCAGCTGCTGGGGAGGCTGAGGCAGTAGAGCTTGAGCTCGGGATGTAGAGGTTGCAATGAGCCAAGATCGCACCCCATTGCGCTCCAGCCTGGGCGACAAAGCGAGACTCTGTCTCAAAAAAAAAAAGAGTAGGACAGAGTGGAGGTGAGGGGTGAGGAATGCTACAGGCTGAGGAAACAGCACATGCAAAGGCTGGAGAGGAGTGAGCATAGCCAGTTAGGGAAGTTCAAGGAGTTACATTCAGGTCACTGGCAGTAGGAAGCTATGGAAACTTTTTAGCAAAAGCAGGGGGATGACCTGTTTGGTTTTGAGTCTTATGAAACTCCCTCCAGCAGCTGTGTGGAGTTAGGCTTGGAGGGGCAGGAATAGAGGGAGAGCACTGGTTAGGAGGCTCGTGTAGTAATCTGGGCAAGGGTGGTGTTGGGAGCTGGAGAGGAGTAAACAGGCCCAGGCTCTCTGCATGCTGACAATGCCTTCTTCCCTGCAGCCTAACAAAAGACATGACTGGGAAAGAAGACAACTACCGGGGCCCGGCCGTGCGAGCCCTCTGCCAGATCACTGATGTGAGTCGTGCCGGTTCCTCCCTGCTTCCTGGCCTCTTGATTGAGGCCTCGGCATCATCTTTTGCATTCTTTGGGGTGTCCCCTATCACTGAGCCAGGTGATGTGGGGTGGAGGCAGTGTGCAGGAGCACATGAGAAACGCTTACTTCCTCCTCATACTCATCTCTGCCCCCATTCCTGCACTCCTGAGAGCTGCCAAGGACTGACTGGATCTCCTTCCACCCTGCTCCTTTTGCCCACAGAGCACCATGCTGCAGGCTATTGAGCGCTACATGAAACAAGCCATTGTGGACAAGGTGCCCAGTGTCTCCAGCTCTGCCCTCGTGTCTTCCTTGGTGTGTAGTTGCTGCTGGAGCCCTGCTGGGGGTGGGGTAGAAAATTGAAGAAAATTTAAGAGTCACATTCCAGTAGGAAAAAAGAAAGTGTTTCTTTCTTTCTTTTTTTTTTTTTGATTGAGACGGAGTCTCACTCTGTCACCCAGGCTAGAGTGCAGCGCCACGATCTCGGCTCACTGCAACCTCTGCCGCCGGGGTTCAAGTGATTTTCTTGCCTCAGCCTCTTGAGTAGCTGGGATTACAGGCGTCTGCCACTGTGCCCAGCTAATTTTTGTGTTTTTAGTAGAGACAGGGTTTCATCATCTTGGCCAGGCTGGTCTTGAACTACAGACCTCATGATCTACCCGCCTCGGCCTCCCAAAGTGCTGGGATTGCAGGCGTGAGCCACTGTGCCTGGCCTCTCTTTCTTCTTTTTTTTTTTTTGAGACAGAGTCTCACTCTGTTGCCCAGGCTGGAGTGCAATGGCTCGATTTCAGCTCACTGCAACCTCTGCCTCCCTGGCTCAAGCGATTCACATGCCTCAGCCACCTGAGTAGCTGAGATTGCAGGTGTGCACCACCACGCCCAACTGATTTTTGTATTTTTGGTAGAGACGTAGTTTCACCATGTTGGTCAGGCTGGTCTTGAGCTCCTGACTTCAAGTGATCCACCCGCCTCGGCCTCCCAAAGTGCTGGGATTACAAAGCGTGAGCCACCGCACCTGGCCAAAATAAAGTATTTCTGTATCTGTAAGCCTGAGAGTCCCACCCTTCTCAGTGAAGACAGCCAAGAAACTCTGGGGTGATTGAAGAGAGTCGTGGGTGGATGGTGTTGACCCATGCCTTGGGGAGGGACATTGAGGGTGGGAGCATCCTGAGTTTGTCCATGGTCTCTGAGGACCAGGACAGTGGCGAGCCCCTGAGCTGTGTCTGAGGGAAGACCAGAACTGGGCCCAGAATGTGTGATGGGGACACTTCCTACCTGCCCCTTAATGTGTCCTGTTGCCCACAGCACCTGCTGAAGTGCAGCTTTGACGTGGTCAAGCGCTGGGTGAATGAGGCTCAGGAGGCAGCATCCAGTGATAACATCATGGTCCAGGTGAGATGTGAGCAAGGGAGTGATATTTAAAACACTCAGGCAGGTGGTAAGGCACTGGCCAGTTGGCATGGACACTTGCCACCGAGATCCTTGTGACCCCTGGCCATAGCAGGCTTTAATCCTTTCGTCATTGGATCATGGGAGGAATTAGGAGGTCCTGGGTTAGAGAATCCAGGGTACCACTTGGGGCGCTTGGGTTACAGACTGCTTACCAGCTGGTGCTGAAATATTCAAGTATTTTGATAACCAGCTGAGTATTGTTTTGGAGCATATGATGTGGCAAACTTGGCCAAGGCAGGCAGAGGGCCGCCTAAATTTAGGCCTTTGCCAGCCTGGCTTTGTTATGATGTGTGGAATTATCTTGATGAGGCTTTCATCCACTTTACTCTTCCTCAGTGACCTAGGACAGCCGTTCCTTTTATCTCTCTGGCTCTTGGTTTCCTTGTCTGTAAAATACGAATGAAGGTTACTGCCTCACAAAGCAGCAAGGACGAGCTGAGATCATGCATGTAACATGTGACCCATCTGGGTCATGAGTGCCTATCGGCGCTCCCTGTGTGTTTATGTATTCCCTTTATCTCTCATCTGTCTTCTCATCCTTTGCACGATTCTTGTCTTCAGGGCCAGCTGTGGCCCCTCAAAACACTTATGAGGGCCAGATAAGCTTCCCACATAGAAGGCTTCCACAGCTGCCATATCTTTGCCCCCAAATGTCGCTCCTTTAGGAAACAAAAGAGAGTATCGAGGACAGGAAATAACTATGAGACCTCACATCTTTAGAAAGGGAGTCTCTGGGCTTCTGGCCCTCCAGGCCTAGCTTTGTCAGTACCAGCCAGGAGTCTTTGGGCAAGTCAGCAAAGATTAAACTGTCTACCTTCAGGGTTGTTGTGGGTAATGCAAGATTTCATGGCTAAGGTGTCCCACACAGTGACTTACAAAACATGACAATGCTCAGGGTCTGGCTCCCACCTTCTCTCTCTCATTGTCTGATTGAAAGCACCAGGTCTCCCACATTGCTTTCATCTTTGTGCTGTTTGTTGTCCCTTTCCATATCTGTATTTATGCTACCTGTTAGGGCTCTTGCCGAAGCAGGGGTGGGAACAAGAACCACAGATATACTTCTGTGGTTTGTGAAGCATTGTGTGGAGGGCTGTGTACACAGAGTACCTGGGGCAGTTGTCACAGCCACTCTGTGTGGTAGCTGCTACTGTGCCCATCTTAGAAATGAGAAGGCTGAAGGACCCACCCAGGGCCACACAGCCAGTATACCCAAAAGTCATACATTTGTACTCTGTTGCTGTCTCCTGTCCTATAGTACCACGCACTAGGGCTCCTGTACCATGTGCGTAAGAATGACCGCCTAGCCGTCAATAAGATGATCAGCAAGGTCACACGGCATGGCCTTAAGTCTCCCTTTGCCTACTGCATGATGATCCGGGTGGCCAGCAAGCAGCTGGAAGAGGAGGATGGCAGGTAACGGCTCTCATCTCTCACCAGCTAGATGATGCCTCACTCATCCTACCATGCTGGGCCACCCCCAACGTTTTCTTGCCACCCTATGTTCTTTTGTAGCCGTGACAGCCCACTGTTTGACTTCATCGAGAGCTGCTTGCGCAACAAGCACGAGATGGTGGTGTATGAAGCCGCCTCGGCCATCGTCAATCTGCCAGGCTGCAGTGCCAAAGAGCTGGCCCCGGCTGTGTCAGGTCACTGGGCATTCCTTCACCCAGCCTCACATGTTTATGCTTGCTGGGAACTAGGCCTGGGTTCCCGGGCTAGGAGAAAGAAAGAAAATGCTCTTAACAAGTGTTAAGGAGTCTGTACCTAGGAAGCACCTGCCCCAGACACTATGCTGAGTCCCCACTTGTATCACGTTTTGGTGGTGGGCTGCTGTTAGTTCCATCTGACTGCTGAAGAGGCTGAGGTAAGGCTCGGGTCCACTCTGGAGCCTGTCAGGTTGGCTGGCCACAGGAGGAGGCCTGGTGGAGGAACCCAGGATCTGTGAAACTGGTGCATGTGAAGTGGGGCTGCACTTTTCCAGGTGAAGGAGAGAACAGTATAGAGGGTCGTTCTGAGCCTCCAGCTCCAGCACTGGAGCAGGGCAGCCTGGGTTAGAGCCCTGGCTCTGCCCCTTACCAACTGGGCAAGCCTGGCAAGGCCGCCCATCCTCTCCATGCCTTCCTTTTCTTTTCTCAGATGTGGATGATAGATCATGCCTATTACATAGGGTTATATAGCCAGAAAATGTGTGATCTAGACAAATTGCTTAGAAGGCAACATGTTTGTTGTTTGCCGTTTGCTGTTTTTTGTTTTTGCTTTTTGAGACGGAGTCTCACTATGTCGCCCAGGCTGGAGTGCAGTGGTGCGATCTCAGCTCACTGCAACCTCTGCCTCCCAGGTTCAAGCGATTCTCCTGCCTGAGCCTCCCGAGTAGCTGGGACTACAGGCGCCCACCACCACGCCTGGCTAATTTTTGTATTTTTAGTTGAGATGGGGTTTCACCATATTGGCCAGGCTGTTCTCGAACTCCTGACCTCATGATCCGCCCGCCTCGGCCTCCCAAAGTGCTGGGATTACAGGCGTGAGCCACTGCGCCCAGCCGTTGTTTGCTGTTATTAAGGGGAATCCAGCAGCCTTGAGTCCTGGAGTCTTTGGTGTCTCCTCTGTGCAGGGCCCTGCTCTGGGTGTGGGAATACCCTGTCAGGGAGGAGAAAGCCTATGAAGAGGTGCAAAGTGGTTGGTACTGGAAAGTGGATATGTTGAGAGGCTAGAAAAGGAGAGGTGCTTAGGGTGAGAAACCTGGATTCAAAGTGGAAGAGAAGAGGGGAGTGTTTTAGAACAGGCCCATGGAAAGCAAAGATGTTGTGGCAGGAGAGTTAGATTTGCAGGTTTTGAGAAATGATTGGGCCTCTTGTTTTTCTATTATTCTCTACTATAACAGTGTAAACTTGGTCAGGCAAACAGATGGAGTTCATGTTTGGAGAGAGAAGTCTCCTTTCCTCCTTAGAAATGAAGAAAGAATGAACTGCTGGGCACGGTGGCTCACGCCTGTAATCCCAGCGCTTTGGGAGGCCGAGGCAGGGGGATCACCAGGTCAGGAGTCCGAGGCCAGCCTGACCAACATGGTGAAACCCCATCTCTACTAAAAATACAAAAATTAGCCGGGCGTGGTGGTGCGCATCTGTAATCGCAGCTACTCATGAGGCTGAGGCAGGAGAATCACTTGAACCTGGGAGGTGGAGGTTGCAGTGAGCCGAGATCGCGCCACTGCCCTCCAGCCTGGGCGACAGAGGGAGACTCTATCTCAAAAAAAAAAAAAAAAAAAAGAAATGGAAAAAGAACTAATGAATTCAGTCACTGATTTGGGTATTCATTCATTCTTATTATATCCCCCATATTTCCAGAATAATGAAAGATGTAAATAAAGTAGGGTCTTCAAAATAAGCATTAAGAAAAATTTTTTTTGAGTATTAGAGAATAAAAGCCAAGTTATGAAGAAAGGAACATAGATATTCCAGAAAACAGTAGTCATCTTCGCTCCTATGATTGAGTGCCAAATTTAGCTCTGAGCTTCCGGGCAGCCAGGGCAAGGGAGGGATATGGTACCCGAATGGCTCTCATCTAGTTAAAGGAAATAAACCATTTGTTTAAGAGAGGACTTTGTTCTTCAGCACTTGGTGCCAAGGGGGAAGTTCTGTTGGATCCTGTAGACACAGTAGGAGAGAGGAGTGGAATATTACTTCACAGAGGTTAAGGGCTTAGGCTGCAGGTGCAGGCAGTCTTGGAATTTAATCTTGGTTCTGCCACTTACTGGCTGCCAACCTAAAGTTTGTTTGCTTTCCCCTTTGTGCCTCAGTCTCCTTATCTGTAAAGTGGGCTAGTGGTGGCTGCAAGCTATAGAAGTGAGGCATGTCCACTGTATAGCACAGCACCTGGCACACAGCAGATGCCCAGTGAATAACAGCCCTCACTGGAACCCCTGGGTGCTCACAGACATTATGGCCTCTGTCCATGGCTCAGGTGCGCAGGGTGAGGGGAGCTCTGTGTCTTGGGTTGGGATGGGGGTGTCAGCAGGGAAATGAGCTGAGCAGAGGGTTTGAGTCAGAACAGTAGCCCCCGGTTTTCCCAGCTGCCCAGCAGTGAAGGCAACCTGACATGTGGCATCCATCTCCCCACAGTGCTCCAGCTTTTCTGCAGCTCACCCAAGGCTGCTCTCCGCTATGCTGCTGTTCGTACCCTCAATAAGGTAAGAGTCCAGCTTGGGGGTTGGAGGAAGCTGTCTGATCCAACTGGAGGTGTGTCCTAGCCTCTGACCTGGCTGGGAAGGATAATAGCCCTGGTCACAGTTAGTTTCTTCTAGATGGTGAGATGATCTCATCCAAAGGACTTCTGACTGGGCCAAACCATCAAATGTAGTGACAGCATTGGGTTCCTGCCCTCTCTGTCACTGTCCTCCCAAAACAGGTTGCCATGAAGCATCCGTCAGCTGTGACAGCTTGTAATCTGGATCTGGAGAACCTGGTCACAGATTCAAACCGCAGCATTGCCACGCTGGCCATCACCACCCTCCTTAAGACGGGCAGCGAGAGCAGCATCGACCGCCTCATGAAGCAGATCTCCTCCTTCATGTCAGAAATCTCGGATGAATTCAAGGTACCTGCTACCCCCAGGACACCCACGGCCCCCAGAGGAAGGAGCTCTGTCCCTGCTCTCTGTGGCCACAGCCTTCCTGCCAGGACTGACCTGAGGGGCTGGTCAGCCTTGAGGACTCAGAGGAGGCCAGCAGTTTGCTCTGCAGAGACTTGGCCTTCCGAGAAATGTGCGTAGTCCTGCCTCCAGGCCTCCATCCATATCGTCCCCTTGTACTGAAAGAACAGTAGTTTCCAGGCCAGTTAAGGGTTCATTGATTTGTTGTCCAAGTATTTCTTGAGCACTTGCTGTCTGCTATGTAGAGTGACAAAAGGGGAACATAGCAGTGAACAAAGCAGGTGACTGCCCTCCTGGAGCTTCCTTTCTAGGGATGGGAGAGGAACAGTAAACAGGTAAAGAAAGGAGTAGACGAGATCATCTCAGGCATGGGTACTGCAGTCAAGAGTGTAGAAATACAGCAGGGATGATCCTAGGAAGAGCACAGTCTGGGAAGGCCCTTCTGGAGGGTGACATTTGAGCTCAAACCTGAATCAGTGCAAAGAACCAGGAGGAAAGGCAGGAGCAAGTCAAGGAGAGAGAAGGCCAGTGGGTGGAAGAGCTGTGGGGCCAGTGCAGGTGACAAAGTCAGAATAGACAGGGCTCAATCATGTAAGGCCCATGGTCAGGTAAAGAGTTTTAATTGCAAGGAAGACATTGGAAAGGTGTTCTTTTGGGGCAGGAGGAAGGATGTGAATATTTTTTGAGCTTATATTTTGAAATAATTCATAGGAAGTTACAAAGAAATATACTGAGAAGTCCTATGCACCCCTCCATCAACCCTCTCCTACAGTGCCAGCATCCTACACTAGCACAGGACAATGTCAACCAGGAAAGTGACACTGGCATGACCCATAGAGCTCATTCAGATTTCACCAGCTACACAGGCAACTCCTGTGTGTATATATGTGAAGTTCTATGCAAGATGTCATGTGGAGACTTTCAAAATTGCCACCACAGTGAAGACACTCAACTATCCATCTCCACAAGACTCTTGTTACCTCTTCATAGTCAGGCCCATTCCTACCTCTCTATTCCCTAACCCCTGGCAGCCATTAATTTGTTCTCAATTTCTGTAATTCTGTTATTTCACAATTGTTAATTGATAGAACAATGAAGTATGTCACCGGAGAGTTTTAATCAGAGCAAACAATAATATGAATAATATATTGTGGTAAATTCTATAGTGTGGATTATGCAAAGTAGGCAGCAGTCTACTCTGCCTGTGGGTTACAAGAATGCTTTGCAGGCTGAAATGACACAGTGAGATTTGCATATTAGATCCTTCTGGGTCTGGGCACGGTGGCTCATGCTTGTAGTCTCAGTGCTTTGGGAGGCCAAGGAGGGAGGATCACTTGAGGCCTGAATTTTGAGACCAGTCTGGGCAATGTAGCAAGACCTCATCTCTACAAATTTTTTTTTTTTTTTTTGAGTTGGAGTCTCGCTCTGTTGCTCAGGCTGGAGTGCAGTGGTGTGACCTCAGCTCACTGCAAGCTCCGCCTCCTGGGTTCACGCCATTCTTCTGCCTCAGCCTCCTGAGTAGCTGAGACTAGAGGCACCCGCCACCATGCCCAGCTAATTTTTTGTATTTTTTAGTAGAGACGGTGTTTCACCATGTTAGCCAGGATGGTCTCGATCTCCTGACCTCATGATCAACCCGCCTTGGCCTCCCAAAGTGCTGGGATTACAGACGTGAGCCACCGCACTCGGCCTACAGAAAATTTTTTTAAAAATTAGCCATGTGTGGTGATGCGCACCTGTAGTCCCAGCTACTCTGGAGGCTGAGGTGTGAGGATCACTTGAACCCAGGAGTTCGAGGCTGCAGTGAGCCATGATCATGCCACTGCACTCCAGCCTGGGTGACAGAGTGAGACCTTGTCTGAAAAAAAAAAAAATTGGCTGGGCGCGGTGGCTTATGCCTGTAATCACAGCACTTGGGAGGCTGAGGTCGGCAGATCACTTGAGATCAGCAGTTTGAGATCAGCCTGGCCAACATGGTGAAACCCTGTCTCTACTAAAAAAATTAAAAAATTAGCTGGTGTAGTGGCTCACACCTGTAGTCCCAGCCACTCCGGAGGCTGAGGTAGGAGAGTCGCTTGACCTGGCCTGGAGGTGGAGGTTGCAGTAAGCCGAGATCGTGCCACTGCACTCCAGACAGAGCGAGACTCCGTCTCAAAAAAAAAAAAAAAAAAAAAGAGTCCTTCTGGAGCAGAGTGGAGGGGTGACTGGGTAAAGAGACTGTTGGAGTAATTCAGAAGGAGAGGATGGTGCCTGAACCGGCGGGAGTAGGAGAGGTGGGACAGTGCAAGAGCTTTTTGAGGGATAATGCCTGTTGGCAGGGTTGGTGTGAGGGTTGAGGGGTGGATGTCAACAGAGATGATGCCATTTTCTACTTTGAGCTGACAGTGGTGCTCTTGACTAGTTTGCAGGGGAGGAAAAGATGGGGTATTGGATGAGGGAGGGGGAAGGAGATGGAGATGTTTGTGGTTGCAGACATGTGGAGTTTGAAGTGCTGTGGGCGCCAGGTGGAGTTGTCTGACAGGCAGTTGGAAAAGGCAGGTCTTAAGCTCAGACAGGAGATAAATATTGGGAGTCAGTGGCATATAAGAGGCGGTTAAAGCCATGGGAGGGGATAAGATTGCTGAAGAGACTGTGAGAAGAGAAGCGGCCAAGGACAGAATACCCCAGAGACAGGCTTAACCAAAAAGGAGCCAGAGGAGATGATGGGTGGGAACCATCAGTGGGAGCCAGTGGTAGGGAGAGAAGCAGGACAGGTTGGGTGGAGGGGACTCGGAGACTTAAGAAGCCTGAGTAGAAGAGCAGAGTTTGGGGAACCCAGAGTCTGAGAGTCTGACACTGGGGCTGTTGGCACTGCCTTGGGTGGGCTCAGGGATTGTGCCCTTCAAGCTTCAAGCGTGGAGTTGAGTTCCTCTGGTCTCCTTGCCCTTGTGTCATGCCCAAGGCCTGGCCTTACCTAAGGAAGGACTCAGTGGGCACTCAGGGAACTGAGTCACCCCATCTTGGTGGCAGGGCCTGCTGCTCATGCACGTCTATTTCATTTAGGTGGTGGTTGTCCAGGCCATCAGTGCCCTGTGTCAGAAATATCCTCGCAAACACGCCGTCCTTATGAACTTCCTGTTCACCATGCTGCGGGAAGAGGTAAGAGTCAGGGGCATTCGGGGGATGCCAGGTCTCCTGGTGCAGGGAGTGACCTGACCACTGGCTCCATGCTCAGCTTTGTGCGTGTGCTTATGTTAGCCTGTTAACCAACTGGTTTTCATGGTGCCTGCAACCCTTTAAACTCCTTGTGGACATGTAAACACGTACCAATTGCTAGTAATTACAGTAATAACTATGACTCACCAGCCTGACTTTAAAAACTGGATGTCCTGAGGTGATGCTTGTGCAGAAGATGGGAAAATGCATGTTCTTTTCTGGTGGACTCTAGTGCAGAAATATTCTAGACCATTCCAGGAGCTCTAGGAGTGGTTTCTTGTGAAACCGGTGCTAATAATACGACATTGGTTCTATTTCTGTTCCCGACGTGAATTACTGATTCACTTATGCCACCTTTCTTGGACGTCTCAACAAAATGGGTTAATTCTTAGGAGCAATAGCAGATGTTCATGGAGTAGATTTGTTCCTCAGATACATGGTACCCCTTTCACCCAGCCCCAGAGTGGCCCATGGACTAGGCAGTAGAGGAGCCATTGCCTTGAGTGTCTTTGCGTTTCCCAAGAATGTTGTTGTAGAAGGGCACTAATGTTTAGTGAGTTGTCAGCTAATGGGCCCAGCACTTTGGTGATTGTGTTTGTTTTTTTTAAGTAGAGATGGGGTCTTGCTGGGTTGCCCAGGCTGGTCTCAAACTCCTGGCTATAAGTGATCTTCCCACCTTAGCCACCCAAGTTCTGGGATTACAGGTGTGAGCCATCATGCCTGGCCAGGCCTAGCACTTTGGAGACACTGTATGCATGATAGCAGTTTTTTTTTTTTTCTGTTGAGTAGGAGTCTCGTTCTGCTGCCCAGGCTGGAGTGCAGTGGTGAGGTCTTGGCTCACTGCAACCTCCACCTCCTGGGTTCAAGTGATTCTCCTGCCTCAGCCTCCCGAGTACCTAGGACTACAGGTGCCCCCCACCACGCCCGGCTAATTTTTTATATTTAGTAGAGACAGGGTTTTACCATGTTGGTCAGGCTGGTCTCAAACTCTTGACCTCAGGTGATCCACCCACCTTGGCCTCCCAAAGTGCTGGGATTACAGACGTGAGCCACTGCGCCCGGCCTCCATCTGTCACCCAGGCTGGAGTGTGGTGGTGTGATCACGGCTCACTGCAGCCTCAACCTCCTGGGATCAAGCAATCGTCTCACCTCAGACCCCCAAGCAGCTGGAATTATAGGCATGCACCACCATGCCCAACTAATTTTTCTATTTTTTGTAGTGATGGGGTCTCTCCATGATGCCCAGGCTGATTTCGAATTCCTGAGCTCAAGTGGTCCACCCACCTCAGCCTCTCAAAGTGCTGGGATTATAGGTGTGAGCCACTGCACCTGACCAGCCTTTTGTTTGACAGGAAAGAGTGATAGAGGCCCAGAGAACCAAGTGCCCTGTCTCCAAGTTCTGTGTTTGGACAACTGTCCTTGGTCCAGCTCAGGTCTTCAACTCTTTTCTGGAGAGAGCAGGCTCCTTGCTTAGCTCAGCTTCTCTCTGCAGGGTGGCTTTGAGTATAAGCGCGCTATCGTGGACTGCATCATCAGCATCATTGAAGAGAACTCAGAGAGCAAGGAGACAGGGCTGTCACATCTGTGCGAGTTCATCGAGGACTGCGAGTTCACAGTGCTGGCCACCCGTATTCTACATCTCCTGGGCCAGGAGGGGCCCAAGACCACCAATCCCTCAAAGTACATCCGCTTCATCTATAACCGAGTGGTCTTGGAGCATGAGGAGGTCCGGGCAGGTAGGTCTGAGCCAGGGCTGAACTTGGAAACTTAGCTTACCCTTGAATAAATGTCCCAGCAAAGGGACCTGAGCCTCCAGTGGGGATTTGTGCACTCAGTGTTCTTGCTGCACAAGCTGTTTTTCATAATATTGTAGGCAGGACCTTACATGTCATCTAGTTGAACAGTTCTTTGTTTTTTGTTTTGTTTTTTTTTTTGAGATGGAATCTCGCTCTGTCACCAGGCTGGAATGCAGTGGCGCAATCTCAGCTCACTGCAACCTCCGCCTCCCGGGTTCAAGCGATTCTCCTGCCTCAGCCTCCCGAGTAGGTGGGACTACAGGTGTGTGCCATCATGCCCAGCTAATTTTTGTATTTTTAGTAGAGATGGGATTTCACCATGTAGGCCAGGATTGTCTCGATCTCTTGACCTCATCATCTGCCCGCCTCGGCCTCCCAAAAGTGCTGGGATTACAGGCGTGAGCCACCGTGCTCGGCCATGGTTCTTAACCCCTATAATTTTTTAAGTATTTTTTTAATTGAGACGGGGTCTTGCTATGTTGTCCAGGCTGGTCACGAACTCCTGGGCTCAAGCTATCCTCCTGCCTCAGTCTCTGAAAGTGCTGGGATTACAGAGCCACTGTGCCTTGCCTTAAGTGATTTTTTTTTTAACTTTCACTGTATGTTGATGTTTAGCTAAAAAACAAAAAGCTTTGTTGAGATATAATTCACATGCCATAAAATTCACCCATTTATATAAAGTTTACAATTCAGTGAGCAACCTTCCTATTCTTTATTTTTAATTTCTTTTCATGCCCCCACTGGACAGATTTTCTTCTTTCAGCAATAAATGATCTTTAAGTAATTGTTCCCTTTCTCATTTTTATTATTCTGAGCCTTAACTGCAAATTGACGCCATTTGGATATGGAAGGTGAGGAGCTTTACATTATAGCCAGCTTCTGTGACCTCATCATGGTTAATTTGAAATTAGCTCCTGGAACCTTAGAATGGGAGCTACTAATCCCATCTGGCGCCCTTCTCCATTAAATAGATAAGGAAGTTGAGGCCTGGGATGGTGCCAAGATCCACCCAAAGCCACTCACTCTGTTGGTAGTGACTTTGGGCCTCCTGGCTTGAGACTTCTTGCCTCTGGGGCTCTTCTGCCTGAAGACCCATTCTGAGTGCTGGAAGTGCCCAAACAGTGAGTTGTCAGGGTGCATTGGGTAAATCACATTCGCTTCCTAAACACAGGTGCTGTGAGTGCTCTGGCGAAGTTTGGAGCCCAGAATGAAGAGATGTTACCCAGTATCTTGGTGTTGCTGAAGAGGTGAGTCTAGGCCCAGGGGCCCTAATGGGGACAGTGTTCCCTTGGACCCAAGCAGCTTTCCTTTGTCTTTATTTTTTTTTAACTGAAAAGGGAGAGAAAAGTTATACAGCTACTGATTGTAGAAAAAAAAGAGAAAGCATAGAAAAGCATGAAAAACAATGCTGTGCAAATTGCACCAACCAGATGTGACAATTGGTAACTTGAATTATTTTGTCCATTTTTTAAAAATAGCTCTATTGAAGCCGGGCATAGTGGCTCCCGCCTGTAATCCCAGCACTTTGGGAGGCCAAGGCGGGCGGATCACAAGGTCAGGAGATTGAGACCGTCCTGGCTAACACGCTGAAACCCCGTCTCTACTACAAATATAAAAAATTAGCCAGGTGTGGTGGCGGGTGCCTGTAGTCCCAGCTACTTGGGAGGCTGAGGCAGGAGAATGGTGTGAACCTGGGAGATGGAGCTTGCAGTGAGCCGAGATCATGCCCCGCATTCCAGCCTGGGTGACAGAGCGAGACTCCAGCTCAAAAAAAAAATAGCTCTATTGAGATATAATTCACATACCATACAATTTACCCATTTAAGATGTGTAGTTTGATGGGTTTTAGCATATTCACAGAGTGATGGAACCATCACCACAACCTGAGTTTAAAACATTTCATCACCCCAAAGGGAACTCAGTGTTCATGAGTGTGGCCTCTCCTCACTCCCTCCACCCTCCGCCTGGGGCCACCACTAGTCTACTTGTTATCCCTATGGACTTACCTCTAATGAAGCCATGCAGGATCCCTCCTGCCATCCCTGCTGGGTCCCAGTCAGGACCACCTTGTGTCCTGGCTGCAGGTGTGTGATGGATGATGACAATGAAGTAAGGGACCGAGCCACCTTCTACCTAAATGTCCTGGAGCAGAAGCAGAAGGCCCTTAATGCAGGCTATATCCTAAATGGTGAGTCATTCCCTGGCTATCTTGGACTCAGCACCTTACTGGAGCTGTGGTTCTCATCACTCCCTGGGCAGGGGAAATCAGAGGCAAGATGCTCTTGGCTGGACTTGCCTGGCAACCTCATGGCATCATGGTGACCTCAGGAGGTCCCGGGTCATTCAGGTCACACCTGAATTGGGTGGAAATTGTCCAGTGAATTGAAACGCTCATCATTAATAAAAACTTTATTTTTACAGTACTTTACCCTTTACAAGTCACTTTGTATATATGTTTATTCCCCACACCTACCCTGTAAGGGAGGATGTGTCTGAGAATGCAGAGGCTTAGAGAATAAAGTGATTTTCTCAGGGTCATACTACTTAGGACTTGTAACTTCGGGACCCCAGGGCCTCCATGGTGGTCCCTGGTGCACATTTTGCTCTATCTGCCAGGCATGGTGACCTCTCTTCACCTCCAGGTCTGACTGTGTCCATCCCTGGTCTGGAGAGGGCTCTGCAGCAGTACACTCTAGAACCATCAGAAAAACCTTTTGACCTCAAGTCTGTGCCCCTGGCCACGGCGCCCATGGCAGAGCAGAGAACAGGTAACACTTATACTCCTCCCAGAGGCCATCAAGGCCAGGCCTCTGTTGGAGGGTCTGCATTGGCTGCAAAGCCACTAACCTAACTAGGGTGGGTGGCAGTTATGCTGGGAGGAGGAAATGATCTTTTCCACCTCTGGCTCCAGAAAATAGAGACACACATACACACAGACGTGGGCTCTCTCACATGTCTTCTGCTTCCCACTCTCAGGAGGGTTAGTATTTATAATCCCTGAGTAATAGCACTGGGGTCACCACCACACTGCCCCGTGACTCCAGCTGTTGGTCATCACGTGTATAATTTGCTCCTGCAGAAAGTACCCCCATCACAGCAGTCAAACAGCCTGAGAAAGTGGCAGCTACCAGGCAGGAGATCTTCCAGGGTGAGTCACAGTGGTTGGGGGATGCTTGGGACCTGGGCTTAGTTTCCTCAGGGGGTTCAAGAGTAAGAACTGTCATATATTGGTCTCTCCTGAGTGCTAGGCCCTTGAGATGCTTTAGACCTACTATCACATTTGACCCTCAGGTGGTGGTTGTTGGGTTCCTTCAATATCTGAGGAATTGGAAGTTCAGAGAGAGAAAGTAGTAGGAGGGGCTGGAATTAAGGTCCCGATCAAACTGGCTCAGTGCTGTTACTGGGCCTCAATTTGGAGGGCTCGGGTCCCTGGAGCCCAGGCCAGTTCAGAATGTCTGAGAGAGCAGTGCTGGGATTCAAAGACACTGGTACTTTTTGTCGGGTTCCACGTGTGTTCTGTCCACATTGTCTTGTAAGGTTTTCTTCAGGTATCCATCTGTCCTCTGGTGTTGCATTTTTAAGGGGAGAGGCTGTGTGTCTAATTGCAGATTGTTTTATCCACTGAATTCAGTAGATAAAAGCATAGACCCCTCTTCCTTCATGGGCCCTCACTTCCATCCTAGCTCTTCTGTCTTCTCTTAAACAGCCCTCTGTGCTAAATAGTTCTTCACATGTTCTGTCTTTTATTTTCTGCGTCTATCACAGCACTGAGCCCAGTGCCTTCCTTCCTCACAGTAGGCTCCCAATTAATGTTGAATTAAATGAAATCCCCCCTTCCCCATTACACTCAGAATCATGTCTTATATCAATATAGCATGGATCCTGAGCTAATTGGGATCGCTATAACATGAAACTTTCCATTTATATCAGTTTTCTATTGCTGCTGTAACACGTTACCACAAACTTAGTGGCTTAACACATTTATAACCTTATAGCTCTGCGGTCAGAAGTCCAAAGTGGGTTTCATTTGTTAGCAGTGCTGAGTTCTTTCAGGAGGCTCCAGGTATTGCCCCCTTGCCTTTTCCAGCTACTAGAGGTGGCCCGTATCCTTGGCTCGTGGCCCCTTCCACCGTCTTTAAGGGCCCTTCTAGGGCAGAAGGTCAGAGTAGAGTGATTTGAAGAGGCCACACTCCTGGCCTTTTCAAATCTCTCTACTCTGACCTTCTGCCCTAGAAGGGCCCTTATGATTACACTGGCCCCCCCTGGATAATCCAGGATAACCCCTAGCTCAAGATCCTTAATTTAATCACATCTACAAAGTCCCTTTTACCATGCAAGGTAACATAGCTGCAGGTTCTGGGAATTAGCATGTGGGCATCTTGGAGTCATTATTCTGCCACACCTTCCAAGGAAGTCTCCTAAGCCGCTTAAAGGGTAACAATTCCATTTTTAAACAATCATCCAAAAGCCTCACATTTACTAATCACATACATGTTCAGTTCCAAGAACTTTCCTAGATCTTGAATTTATTGCCTCATTTGTCTTTACAACAACGCTGTGATCAAGATAATGATATCAGTTTTATTGATGAAGAGTCTGAAACCCTACCAACAGAATCCCCCAGGGAGTAAGTATCAGGCCCAAAACTCTGAGTCCCAAGAAAATAAATATCAATAGAAAAGCACTCTAGTGGTTGATGGTCATGGTGGCCCAAAAGTTCCTCCTAATATCTAGCCTGGATTGTTCTGGGCTTTTTATTGCCTGCATATTCATTAGATTCAGTCTTCAGGCTGCAGAGGGCTGAAGTGGTCACATAGGCTGACTTTTTGTGGAGGAAAAAAGCAAAATAATAAAAATAAGGCCTACCTTTCTCTATGTCTGAAACGTGAATTGAGTACCTTCTAAGTAAAGGGAAAAATATCAGATCCATGGCCTCAAAGCACAATCCCTGTTCTCATGGAGTTCAATTAATTGGGAAGACAAGTTGAAAATCTTAGAGCAGTGGTCTTTAAATATCAGTATATATTGGAATAATCTGAGGAAACATGTTAGAAATGCAAATTCCTTGATCCTGAAACCAGAGATTCTGATGTAGTAGATTTGGGATGGAGTCTGAGTTTTTAGCAAGCTCTGCCGCCAACCCCTAGTAATTCTGATACAGTTGATCCATGGTCATAGTGCGAGGAATCCTGCCATAGAATAGGTACAAGAGTGGCAGCTGTAGCCATTATAGGTGGACACCATGTGCACACATCTGCCAGATGCCTCATTCACTTGGGTTATTCCCTTTAGTTTGCAAGGAATGCCAGGACCAGCCAGGGTGGGGTCCCATGGGCCTGTGCTTGAATCCAGTGCTTGAACCTGGGCATAGGGTGTAGGGATAGGTCTTACCAGACACAAACAATTCTAAGTTAGGTTTTCTGCAACACTCTCATTCTGAAATATCTCTTTATTGGCCATTTGTCTTAACTGATAAATATATAGGACCAGTTTGTTATTTTGTCTGATTTTGTAGCTATAGCAGTATCGATCTTATTTTCCTAATTGTCACCTTCTTTTAAGAATCCTTGCTGCGGTAGGGGGCGGAAATCCTTGCTAAGCTTCTATAGCTGGGGGATTCTCCAATTAGGTCTAGGATTTTGTGGTCTCATATCAGTTTTTTGCTTCTGAGGTCTTTCATGGTACAGAGATGGGGAGAGTATTTGTGGGGGGTTGTGCCACATGAGCGAAGTCAGGGAGATGAGAAAATGCATGGATATATTCAGGAAATAATGAGTAGCCAGTTGGGTAAACATATCTATCCATCTAAGGTAGGGTGGAACACCTTGAGAATGGTCATGGGAATTTATTAGAAACCATCAACAAGTTGGTCTGGGGATCGAGAAGCTGAGTGAATGTGGCCTGTGGATTTCAGAGCAGTTGGCAGCAGTGCCAGAGTTCCGCGGTCTTGGGCCCCTCTTCAAGTCCTCGCCTGAGCCCGTGGCCCTCACCGAGTCAGAGACGGAGTATGTCATCCGCTGCACCAAACACACCTTCACCAACCACATGGTTTTTCAGGTGAGCAAGGTGGGCTGAGGCCCTGCTGGGGCATGCGCCCAGGGAGTTGTCCCAGGTCTGGCAGGTCCTGTAGGGTCATGGGTCCCCACACTGCATTGGTTGGGAGCCCAACTTGATGACAGAATCTGTCCCCAACAGGTCGGTCTCTCATATCTCTTGACTCGGGACATCCATGGCTCCCGATTGTCAGCATGAAGACAGGGAACCTGGGGCAGGGGGACTGGGATGGGAATCACCTTGGTCAATAGGAAAGAGGTGGGACCTCCTGGCTTTTCCTCTGCAGCATGGCTCGGACCTAGTGCAATGTTTAAGCTCCCCTCTCTTTCCTGTTCAGTTTGACTGCACAAACACACTCAATGACCAGACCTTGGAGAATGTCACAGTGCAGATGGAGCCCACTGAGGCCTATGAGGTGCTCTGTTACGTGCCTGCCCGGAGCCTGCCCTACAACCAGCCCGGGACCTGCTACACACTGGTGGCACTGCCCAAAGAAGACCCCACAGCTGGTGAGCCCCTCTCCAGATACCACCCTATCCTCCTGGGAGCTCATGGGGTCAGGAGGAGGTGGGCGGCTGGGCACCAGCTGTTTGCCTTCTATTAGAGCTTCAGCTCCTTGATTTCAGTCCCAAGAAGAAGAATAGCTGAGTCCCAAGTGCTCTTCTTTAAAAATTTTTTTTTTTAAAGAGACAGGATCTCACTAGAACTCATGACTTTCCTGTCCTACAAGGTGGCACCCTCTGTCCAGCTTTGTGGGATTGGATGGCTTGTTGCTGCTACTAATAACATAGCAGGGGCCTAGAAAGCAGGCTGTGACCCCTGCCTGCTTGTCCCCTGCAGGAGGAGCCCATCCCCTGCAGGCTGGGGACATCCTAACTACCCAGCCTCTCTTCCCCACAGTGGCCTGCACATTCAGCTGCATGATGAAGTTCACTGTCAAGGACTGTGATCCCACCACTGGGGAGACTGATGACGAAGGCTATGAGGATGAGTATGTGGTAAGATCCTGGTGTCAGGAAGCTCAGTTTTGTGCTGAGGCTGCAAAGCAACTCCCTTCAGGAACTGACAGTGAGACTGGAGCTGTTTTTGGCTTTTTAGCTCTTTAAAATTTTATTTTTTTATTTTTATTTTTTGAGATGAAGTTTCTCTTTTGTTACCCAGGCTGGAGTGCAGTGGCGCGATCTCGGCTCACTGCAACCTCTGTCTCCCTGGTCCAAGCGATTCTCTTGCCTCAGCCTCCCAAGTAGCTGGGATTACAGGCGCCCACCACCATGCCTGCCAAATTTTTTGTATTTTTGGTAGAGATAGGGTTTCACCATGTTGGCTAGGCTGGTCGCGATCTCCTCACCTCAGGTGATCCACCTACCTTGGCCTCCCAAAGTGTTGGGATTACAGGCGTGAGCCACCGCGCCCGGCCTAAAATAACTTTTTAAACTTATGGAAATACATGTTCATGTGTAAAAAGAAAACTTGGGAAATACAAAAACAAAATTCAAAACAAAGTATGAACAACAGGAAAACATTACTCATAATCCTTAGAGTTATTTTTGGGGGGAAGTGGTATAATTGAAATCATTCTTACAGTGTAGACCTTGCTATTTTAAAACCATAGTGTATTTTCCAGTATCATTACAAATACTTCATAAACACAATTTTTTTAGTGGATTTAAAATACTGTTATATACTATGTCAAAACTTGATTGACTTTTCACTCCTTTAATGTTGGGCATTTGGGTTTCCATATTTTCACTATTTATATTGCTGCATTAAATATCCCTTTAGATACAAATTTTTATCTGCATTTTAGATTATTTCTTTAGGATAGATTCCTAGAAGGAGAATAGTTGGGTCAAAGGGTAAGCATGATTTTAAGACATTTTGATTCCTCTTGTCAAATGCTTTCTGGATAAATTTGACCTGTTTGCTGTGCTGGGCAGTCCTTTCATGCACTGGAATAGCCCTTCTAAATTCTCCTATCTTAGCTCGGTGGAACTAAGTACAGGATCCTTCTGAGGTCTGACTTTGGGGCAGTGGCTCAGGGCCATCTGAGTGCAGACCATTATGCTCAGCCTGTGGATGGGGACTGTTAGAACTCCTCCTGACTAGAGGGACAGTCACAGTGGAATACAACTGACATTCGCCATTGTGTCATCCTAGAGTCACAGTTGAGGATGGATGGACCTTCCTTGAGCTGGAAATGACCCCGAGGCAGGAGCTGCTCTAAGACCAAGTGAGCTCCTTGAGAGAGCTGGGTCTGTTTGAGCCCATCCAGAGATGAAGAAAAAAAAAAAAGAGAGAGAGAGCTGGGTCTAAGTTGTATTTATATACACTGTAAACATCCACAGGAGTAGGGCCTCAGTGAAAATCTGATGGGAGAATGAATGGGGAACCTTCATGTAGACTCAGTGGGAGTATTATGTGTCAAGTTCAGGGAAGACACAGCTGAAATGGAGATAGAGATTCAGGATCTGTCAAATCCAGAGGACACAGCTGGGGTAGGAGGTTTCTGCTAGTTTCTGCTGAACTAGAAACAGCTGCTGGTCCTGAAGAGCTCATCATCCCCTAGGAGGGACAGGCATAGGAAGCAGACCTCTGAGAATGCTATGTAATTCCCTGCATGCCAGGTCCTGGAAGCACTGACACTAGGCAGGCTTAGAAGAGATGTGATCTCACAGCAGGCGGCTCTAGGCTGAATTAGTAGATTGGTACTTGGGATTAGGGCGTTTTCTGTTGAAGGGATACCATTTGCCTTTGGGCACCTCAAGGATAGGTACCTGGTCAAGTTGCTCTATGTCCCCAGAGTCTAGCACAGTCCTCAGTGCCGAGCAAGCACCTGTGGAAAGAGTTGCAGGAAGGGATGTGTGGATGAGTTCAGAGCAGAGGCCCGTAGGTGTGTAGATGGGTGCCTGATTTCTACCTCCATCTCTCCAGCTGGAAGATCTGGAAGTTACTGTAGCTGATCACATTCAAAAGGTCATGAAACTGAACTTCGAAGCAGCCTGGGATGAGGTAGGGGATGAATTTGAGAAGGAGGAAACGTTCACCTTGTCTACCATCAAGACACTTGAAGGTAAAATCCTGGGAATGCCATCTCTGGCCTAATTACTGTTCAAGATCTTTGGCTACTATTGAAGTGCTCATCCCTTTTCTCTCCAAGGATCCAGGGCCATGTCTGGAGCACATATGTCAAATGCCACTTCATTAAAAGCCCTTCAGAACATGGGGGAGTGGTGGTGGCACAAAGGGCAGATAAGATGGCTTAACAATATTGGGATTTCTCATTACAGAGGCTGTGGGTAATATTGTGAAGTTCTTGGGAATGCACCCTTGTGAGAGGTCAGACAAAGTGCCGGATAACAAGAACACCCACACGTTGCTCCTGGCTGGTAAGTGGCATTTCTAGATGGGGAGGGCCTGGATAGCTTACAGCCTGGATGCCACTGGATCCTGGGCTAAGGACTCCACTGTAAATATGGGGAGTCAAAATTCACAGCATTTAAAATTCACAAAGTATAAAATAATCTGCAGCGAAATGTTTCCTCCCTACCTTGGCTGCCAGCCATTCAGATTCCCTTCCGAGAAGCGACCAGTGTTACTATTACAAACAATACTTGTATAACCTTGCGGTTATTTTATGGCTATAAAAGCTAATAGGAACGCATTTCCTTTTTTTAACTCAAATGTTTATGTACAAATGGTATATATATTGTCCTCCGATTTGCTTTTCACTTTACATTGCATCTTAGAGATCTTCCCCGTCAATATGTAGAGCTTCCTCATTCTTTTTCTTTTAATTGTGGTAAAATATACATAAAATTCACCATTTCGACCATTTTCAAGTGTATGGTTCAGCGGCATTAAGTACATTCACACTATTGTAAAACTATGACCACCATCCATCTCCAGAACTTTTTTCATCCCAAACTGAATCCTCATTTTTTTTATAGTTGCTTAGTATTCCATTGTGTGGATGCACCACATATTCTATGGAACAGCCACTACTGATGAACATTTAGTTTGATTTCAATCTCTTGCTATTACAGATGTTACAGTAAATAATCGTGTACACACACACACACACACACACACACAGTTTACTTTGCATGTGTACACTGAGAATATCTGTAGGATAAATTTTCCAAGGCATCACCAGTTCAAAGTGATTTGTGTTTCTCATCTTGATAAATAACTCCAAGTTGCCTTCCATAGAATTGTATACCTTTCTTCCTACACTGTGGACAACATAATATGTTACCACACTTTATGATCTTTTCCAGTCTGTGTGGACAATGATATCTTAGTGTAGTTTTTGTATTTTCAATGAAGTTAAGTATCTTCTTAAATGTTGAGGCATTTGTATTTCCTTTTCTGATCATTGTCTTCATATCCTTTGTCTTATTTTCTACAGGGTTGGCTGAGTGTACCCACACTCATTCTCCTTCCCAGATTATTTACTAGCAAACTCCAGAAATAGCATTTTATATGTAAATCCTGTATCTGTATGTTTCTCTAAGAGAGAATGACCCCTTCCCTTTTTTAAAGGACAATACAATTATCATACCTAAAACAGTTAACAAAAGGAAATGGGATGATTTTTTTTGGCTGAGTGTTTATAAACAGGGTTGAAAGGAGGCTCTGCTTCAGTACCCTGCCTACAGCTGACAGTTTGTAGCCACATTGAAACAACCTAGTCCCCTGGGTCTTGCAGACACCTGCCCTGTGGTTTTCTCGTGGTGGGGCTGTCCCCTTCATTTGTGCTCTCAGATTCAGTCAACGTGCAAGAGCCTCTGTGACATGAGATATAAGCCTTTTATGTCCATCAGTTCATTTGAACTTAGCAGAAGCCTGAAATATGGTATTATCATCCCTGCCACTTTGTAGTTGAGGATACTGAAGTCCTGAGAGACAGTGACTTTCTTTTTTTTTTTTTTTTTTGAGACGGAGTCTAGCTCTGTCACCCAGGCTGGCATGCAGTGGCACAATCTCTGCTCGCTGCAACCTCCGCCTCCCGGGTTCAAGCGATTCTCCTGCTTCAGCCTCCCGAGTAGCTGGGATTACAGGCGTCCACCACCATGCCCAGCTAATTTTCGTATTTTTAGTAGAGATGGGGTTTCACTGTGTTGGCCAGGCTGGTCTCGAATTCCTGACCTCATGATCTGCCCACCTCAGCCTCCCAAAGTGCTGGAATTACAAGCGTGAGCCACCGCGCCTGGCTGAGAGACAGTGACTTTCACAGTGAAATCCCTCACTCAGGGATTTCAGCCCAGCTCTCCTGCCCGTTTCACTACACCAGAGCTGCCTTCATGGGTTGCTGCAAATGCCATCCTTAGCCTGCCCTGTACAGTCCCTTCTGCTGTATATATCTGTACTTCTCTCTTCCCTTCTAGGTGTGTTCCGGGGTGGTCATGACATCCTGGTGCGCTCCCGGCTGCTGCTTTTGGACACAGTGACAATGCAGGTGACAGCCAGAAGTTTGGAGGAGCTGCCAGTAGACATCATCTTGGCATCTGTGGGATAAGAGGCCAGCCTGCATAGGACCTCATACCCTTCCCCAACACTACCTGGAAGTTGTGCCTTCCTCATGAAACTGGCAGAAACCCCTTCCCAAGCTTCTGTATTGAAAAACAATTAGGAATCATTGCAGATTTTTTTTTATTCTGCTCCCACCTCCCACCCGGGACTACTTGCTGGTGACTTTTTTTTTTTTTTTTTTTAAATAGGGGATGATTTTAGCTTGTCCTAAATCTTGCTGTCCACCCTTCCAGGAAAGGGACATTGTAAATGAATAAAACATTCTCAACTCCTCTTGAATCTATCCCCCAAGAAACCATCTTATCCCTGTAATAAATCAGCATGTATTTATTGAATGATTGCTACTTCTGCAGACTCATGCTTCAGGGCTCCACCTTCCCCTTCAAGGCCTCCCCTAAAGAGGCAGAACACCTGCCCTGTCCCCCTTGCACCCACAGCCCTTTGGCTGTTGTAGTCCTGTGAGGCAGGACCCTCTCCCCGTCATCGCTGTCCCAGCACCAAGCCCAGGGGTGGGAGCGGTAGAGGGTGGTTGAGTGAATCAGCTAACAGGCAGAGTTCACACTCCCTCCCGTTCGTGCTTCTTCACAACGCATCCTCCTTTGATAGTCGATAAATGGAGGCTCCAAAGGGCTTGGGTCCTGTGTCTGATCGTTCCAGCATCTGGTCTTACATGGAGTGTGCCCTGGGGTTTCTGCTCCCTGTTCAGTTCAGCGAATCAGCATAGGCGAACAGCCCTCTAGAGCATTCTCTGTTGGTTGCAGATGAAGAATCTCCGGTTTAGGTCCCAAGGGGAGCAGGCTTTTAAACTCAAGCCAGGCTATTTTACCAACTTTGAGGCCAAAGTACACCCGAAAGGGCTGTTTTAAAAATCTGGGCCTCACCCTTAGAGATTCAGCTGAGGGGCTGGGGCAGGAAAGGCTTATTCTAGTGCCCACCAATGTTTGAGGGCGAAGTGCGCGATTCCTGGAAGTTCTTCTGACTTTCATTTCTTCAGTGTTCCTCCATTTTTGCCTCGCACTGTGAGGCAGCTGGCAGGACTGTGAAGTAAGGAGTGGAGTTTCCTGGTTTCCCGCCTTCCATGACCCTGTGCCCTAGACTCAGCGCGGCGGGAACCTTCCCTGCCAGCCCTGAAACACGCTGGGGGCGGGGAGGAAGGTTAACCCCGCCAGGGAACGGCCAATATGGAGGAAAGTGGAGTCCCGAGAAGCTTGGGATCGATATGTCTCCCAAGGCAGTCACTGTCTCCTGGGGAAACGGGAGAAAATTCATCCCAAACCGGAGGGGAGAAGACGCCGCCTCCGGGGCCCGAGGGCACCGCGGGAACCAAGGGCCCTTGGGGGCGGGGCCTGGCGCCGGGAGCGCGGGCTGAGGCGGGGCTGACGTGAGGGGCGGTGACGCGGGTGGCCAAAGCGGAGCGGAGCGGGGGTGAGGAGAGTCGAGGGAGGTGACGCGCGCTGCCGGGGCGAGGTGAGGGGAGGGGAGGCGACGCGGGCGGTCGGGGTATGGCGAGGGGAGGGGAGGGGAAAGGAAGCGACGCGAGCTGACAGAGGGGAGCAGAGGCCCGAGCGGACGCGAGGCGACGCGGAGAGGGCGGCCTGGGCCGAAGTGAGGCGACGCGGGGCGGCGGAGTCTGAGGGCCGGAGCGGAGCGGAGGCGACGCGGGGAGGGGCGAGGGATCGCGGCCGGTGGCTGGGGGCCACCTGCTCCCCGAGCACCGGCCCCCGCTCCGGGGAGCAGAGTCCGGAGCGGGATCCGCGGCCCACAGGTTCGCAGGTCGGGCCCGGGGACGCTGCGGACTAGCGGGCGGGAGGCGGGGATTCTGCACCCCGGCCCCGGGCCGTCCAGTGGCCGCCCTCGAGGTGACCGGTTGCTGGCCGGCGTGGGTCGCTGACCCCAGCGGGGACTGGGGGGAAGGACGGGGAGTTGGGGGCACCAAGTCACCCGGAGGAGGCGACCCCAGCTAGCTGCGCTTGCCCTGCTTCGCTGGACTGTGAAGCCCCCTCCGCTGCGGCTCTTCCTGCGCTCAGGCAGGCATTTGCAGAGCTCCTCTCGGGACTTGCCTCAGTGCCCTGCACGGAGCTGGGCAGTGGGCTCAGGGAGCGAAGCAAACGGGCACATCCTTGTCTTTGTGGGACTTTTTGGGGAAGACTTTAGACGGTGGTCACGGAGGGGCACGGCCCTGTGGGAACGGAAAGAGAAGGCGGGGACTCAAGGAATAAGACCTAATATTTGAGATACGTAAGCCTTTTCCTTACGTTTTGTAATTTAAAGGTTGCGAGGGGCGGTGTTGAAGAATGTGTGGGCGAACATCCTGTCACTTACCTAGAGATGTTCTCACGAGAGCTTGCGCCTACCAGGATCGGCGGGGCCAGCAGCGGCTCCCGGAGTGGAGGGACCCTGATAAGTACTGCCCCTCTTACAACAAGAGTCCTCAATCCAACAGCCCAGTGCTTCTGTCTCGACTGCACTTTGAGAAGGTAACCAGCATTGCACTATGCTAGCCCCTCGCCCAGCCTCGTGATGGTCATCTCCTATTTGGTTTGGTGTGTGCTCAGCCTCTTGGGATGACATTAAAAACCAGCCTTTACTGATATATTCTGACTTCCAGTTGAGAACCTCTCTTGGCCTCATGAAAGAAGTTTTATCAGTGGCTTCTAACACTGATAAAGACGTATTTTTCAGGCTCAATTTAAATGCCTTTGCTATACATGGCATACTAGCCTTAATATATGCCAAATTTATATGAGCTTTGTGTTTTAAAATAGCAGCTTTCACTGATCATCAGGGTCATTGGAGTATCTTAAAAATATAATAAAAAAATTTAAGGCCAGGTGCCATGGCTCATGCCTGTAACCCCAGCACTTTGGGAAGCCGAGGTGGGAGGATCACTTGAGCCTAGGAGTTGGAGACCAGCCTGGGCAACATAGGGAGACCCCATCTCTACAAAAAATAAAAAAATGAGGTGGGAAGATCACTTGAGCTGGGGAGGTCGAGGCTTCATGAGCCATGGTTGTACCACTGCACTCCCACCTGGGTGACAGATCAAGACCCTGCCTAAAGAAAAAATTTAAAAAAATAAAAAATTTAAGAATATTTCTATGCCCTTTACCAGGCCAGCTTAATCAGACTTCTCTAGGCCTAGGACAGGCTTAAGATCAGTTAATTTAAAACACTTCTGATGTTTCTTGAGCATTGAAAAGTTTTATTCTTTCTGCTTGTGTTTTCAATCTTTTTGTGTTTGTCTTTTACTAAGGCTAGAAACACGTATTTGGTTTGGTTATCTGAAGTTTAATTGCATTCATTGTGTTTATAGTATTTATCCCTGTAGTGTTGGAATTACCAGTCACTTACATTCATATTTTAGTTTTTTGCCTTATCTCCTGAAAGTGTGTGTGTCTTTGTATGTGTGTGTAATAAAAATGCTTCGTTCTAGAAAGTAATAGTTTCTCCATGTCTTAAATATTTTAAATGACCTTGACATGTTTTTAAAAATCGTGATTGTTGGCTGGGCACGGTGGCCCACGCCTGTAATCCTAGCACTTTGGGAGGTGGAGGCGGGCGGATCACGAGGTCAAGAGATCGAGACCATCCTGGCCAACATGGTGAAACCCTATCTCTACTAAAAATACAAAAATTAGCTGAGTATGGTGGCACGCACCTGTAGTCCCAGTTACTTGGGAGGCTGAGGCAGGAGAATCACTTGAACCTGGGAGGTGGAGGTTGCAGTGAGCTGAGATTGCACCACTGCACTCCAGCCTGGCGGCAGAGCGAGACTCCATCTCAAAAAAAAAAAATTGTGATTGTTTCCTTCCTGAATTTTGACTGTATTTGATTCATAATGCTGAAATCACTTTATAAAGTTGATTATACCTCTGGTACATACTCTTTAAACTTTTGTGATAATATGATAGTCAAAAAGGACTCATTTCTGCATTATAGGGAATCACATCATTTTGAAATAAAGATAACAGGCTGGGCATGGTGGCTCACACCTGTAATCCTAGCACTTTGGGAGGCCAAGACGGCTGGACCACCTGAGGTCAGGAGTTCGAGACCAGCCTGGCCAACATGGTGAAACCCCGTCTCTACTGCAAATACAAAAATTAGCTGGGTGTGATGGCGGGCGCCTGTAATCTCAGCTACTTGGGAGGCTGAGGCAGGAGAATCGCTTGAACCCGGGAGGCGAAGGTTGGGGTGAGCCAAGATTGTGCCACTGTACTCTGGCCTGGGCAACAGAGTGAGACTCCATCTCAAAAAGAAATAAAGATAACAAATAATGGCTGGGCACGGTGGCTCACGCCTGTAATCTCAGCACTTTGGGAGGCTGAGGCGGGGCAGTGGGATCTCTTGAGGTCACGAGTTTGAGATCAGTCTGGCCAACATGATGAAACTCTGTCTGTACTATAAAAAAAAAAAATGTGGAGGTTGCAGTGAGTCGAGAATGTGCCACTGCACTCCAGCCTGGGTGACAGAGCAAGACTCAGTCTCAAAAAAAAAAAAAAAAAAAAAATCAAATAATGTTCTTGGTTGAATGAAGCCATTTATATGACATAGTTATTTTTGTGTCATTTTTAGAGGATGCATACTTCCCTATTGAAACTTTTTGTTTTAAATGAGAGGGGAATCAAAATAAAATATTCTGGAGAACCTTGAAGGGGAAAAGAGAGCATAAAACATATTTCAAAGGAAAGCATAACTTAGAGTGAGAATAGAGAGCAGGATTAAGTGTATGAGCCTGGCCAGGCCTGGTGGCTCACGCCTGTAATTCTAGCACTTTGGGGGAGGCTGAGGCCAGAGAATTGCTTCAGGCCAGGATTTCAGGACACCAGCCTGAGCAAATGAGACCCTGTTTTTAACAAAAAAAAAAAAAAAAAGCCTTAGTCATTTATATGACCTCCTTAGAATTATAGAAAGTTAGCTGGAAGAAAAATTTGTCTAACAGATGTAAAGATAGAAGTATACATAGATTATGACTTGTCCTAGGTTACCTAATCAGTGAGGGACAGAACTAGAACTGAGATCCAGACCACCGTCCCCACTCCAGTGGATGCATCCTGGAACCAGGAATGGGGAAGGTGGAGCCACTAGCAAATACAGCCCTCATTTGGGCCAGTGGTATGAATTTGCTGATATAGTATTTGATTTCACATCTCTAACAAGTTTTATTAAGATTGCTATGGTTTCTTAATTTTGATAATATTTGATATCTCATTTTTCTCAGACCTATAAATTATAAAGCAAAATTAGAACCATTTTAGCAGTTCATTCAAATCATTAACAGCCTGCATATGTATATAGATAGCAACATTTTCATTTGAAACCACAGATTTGCAAATTACTTCCTGTTTCATTTATCCACCCCAGTGCTACCAGGTGTTCTGTTCAGAAGTCCAAAAGGGTAGAGGAAAGATGACTAATATTGAGCAATGGTCTTAGTATTTTGGCTTTTCAACTACTTTCTATTCGTCATTCTCACATTTGGATTTGGTTTACAGTTGTCAAGGGTACACTCTCAGCGCTGATCAGTGGAATTTGTGAGAGCAGAATTCTCAACCTTGACACTGTTGACAGTTTTGGCCAGGATAATTTTTTGTCATAGGGAGCTATTCTGGGCGTTGTAGAGCGTTTAGCAACATCCTCTACCAGCTAGATGTCAGTAGCATCCTCCACAATAGCATCCCCCAGATCAGAGCAACCAAAGGTATCTCCAGATACTGCCAGAAGTCTCTGGATGGTGGGGAGGGGTGTGTCAGAATTGTCCCGTACTGAGAACCACAGATTTTTTCAGTATTGTTGTCTTGCAAATTTCTGATGAAAGATCATTTAGTTGACCATTGCGTAATGTTGTCTCATTCTCATTTATGCACTGAGCTGGGGGTCCTTCTGCTTGGAAGACTTTTTTTTTTTTTTGGAGACAGGGACTTGCTGTGTTGCCCAGGCTGGAGTGCAGTGGCGCAATCATGGCTCACTACAACCTTGACCTCCCAGGCTCAAGCGATCCTGCTGCCTCAACCTCCCCAGCAGCTGGGATCACAGGCTTTTCCTTTTGACATTTTGAGGGGGAAGTTCTCACTGTGTTGCTCAAACTGGTCTCAAGACTCTTGAGCTCAGGCCAGGTGCAGAGGCTCACACCTGTAATCTCATTACTTTGGGAGGCTGAGGCAGGTGGATCGCTTGCAGTCGGGAGTTGTAGACCAGCCTGACCAACATGGTGAAACCCTGTCTCTACTAAAAATACAAAATTAGTCGGGTGTGGTGGTGCATGCCTGTAATCCCAGCTACCTGGGAGGCTGAGGCAGGAGAATCGCTTGAACGTGGGAGGCGGAGGTTGCAGTGAGCCAAGATCGCGCCATTGCACTCCAGCCTGGGCAACAAGAGCGAAACTCTGTCTCAAAAAAGAAAAATCAACCTTGAGCTCAAGGGATCCTCCCCACTTGGCCTACCAGAGTGCCAGGATTATAGGCTTGAGCTGCCAGAAGGCAAATTTGATTCTGGAAGAGAAAGAGGATTTATGAAATCTCTGTTTTCAACTGTTCTTTCTCACAAACACACACAAACAGTCCTCATTATTCTTAGATTCCATATTTCCAAATTCACCTACTCACTAAAATTTATTTGTAACCCCTAAATTCATACTCACTTTGCTTTTGCAATCATTGGTGCACATACAGAGAGCTGACAAATTTGAGTACCTTGATGTTTCCAGCTGAGGTTGATCGAGGCAGAGCTCTGCCTTCTTGTTTCATCTCTTACGTTATAAACAAGTATCTTTTTTGCAGCCAGTTTAGTGCCATGTGTGATTTCACTGTTTAAAATGATCCCAAGCATAGCACTAAAGTGCTGGCTGGTATTCCCAAGCTAAAGAAGGCTGTGATATGTCTTAAAAAGAAGATATATACATTGGATAAGCTTTAGTCAGGCATGAGTTATAGTGCTCTTGGTCTTGAATTTAGTGTAAATGAATTAAGAGTAAGTTTAAATTAGATGTCTTTAAACAGAAACACACATAAAACAAGGTCATATATTGATCAGTTGATGAAAGTGTCGTCACCAGATGCTGTTAGAAACATAACCTTGCATTTCCCTAAGAGCAGCAGTTCAGTACTCAAAGCAACTTTATGAAATCTAACTACTGCAAATAAAGGGAATCAACTGTTTGTGTGTATATATATGAAAAGAGAATTGGCCGGGCGCAGTGGCTCACACCTGTAGTCCCAGCACTTTGGGAGGCTGGGAGGCTGAGGCAGGCGGATCACTTGAGGTCAGGAGTTCGAGACCAGCGTAACCAACATAGTGAAACCCTGTCTCTACTAAAAATACAAAATTAGCTGGGCGTAGTGGCACATGCCTATAATCCCAGCTACTTGGGAGGCGGAGGCAGGAGAATCGCTTGAACCTGGGAGGCAGAGGTTGCATTGAGCTGAGATCGTGCCACTGCACTCCAGCCTGGGCAACAGAGCGAGACTCCATCTCAAGAAAAAGAGAATTAATGGATACAGCAGGCAGGATTCTGGAAGAAGCAGGACTGGATTTTATCAGCAGCACTATGGAGGGATTAGCTTTTAAACAAAAGGAAGCCCTTCTCCTGAGACTGCGACTACTGATGATTCCTTTCTTCAGATTCCATTCTCTCCTGACTTTCTTCGTTCTACTTTTATCTTAGTAGGTACTTCTACTTGGAACTCTGCTTTTACCCTAATTTCTTCTTTTAACAAAATTTTTTGTACCCTCAGGTTAAATCCTGTACATGATATACTCTCTAAGAAACTTTACCTTCATGGCATTAATAGTCATCTTTTTATAGACAATTTTATGATTTGTTTTTAATCCTTACCTTAGAAAAATACTATACTACAATTTGAGTGCCTACTCCATGCCACACATTTTAACTATATTATCTTTCATTCTTGAAAATTATCCCACAGGGTAATTATTGTTTGTTCTAATTTTTGGATAAGGAAAGTTGAAGGCCCAAGAAGTTGAGACTAGTCCAACCTCATAAGTAGCAGAGAAAGGATTTTTTTTTTTTTTGAGATGGAGTCTTGCTCTGTTGCCCAGGCTGCAGTGCAGTGGCACAAACTCGGCTCACTGCAAGCTCTTCCTCCCGGGTTCACGCCATTCTCCTGCCTCAGCCTTCTGAGTAGCTGGGACTACAGGCACTCGCCACCACGCCCGGCTAATTTTTTTTGTATTTTTAGTAGAGACGGGGTTTCACCGTGTTAGCCAGGATGGTCTCGATCTCCTGACCTCATGAGCCACCTGCCTCCCAAAGTGCTAGGATTACAGGCATGAGCCACCGCGCCCGGCCCAGGATTTTTTTTTTTTTCCATCAGAGTCATAGAGTGCAGTGGCACAATCTCAGTTCAATGCAACCTGCACCTCCCGAGCTCAAGCAATTCTCATGCCTCAGCCTCCCGAGTAACTGGGGTTACAGGCACACGCCACCACACCCAGCTAATTTTTGTATTTTTAGGAAAGATGGGGTTTTGCCACGTTGGCCAGGCTGGTCTCAAACTCCTGACCTGAGGTGATCCGCTCGCCTCAGCCTCCCAAAGTGCTGGGATTACAGGCGTGAGCCACCATGCCTGGCTCAGAGAAAGGATTTTTGAACCAGGATCTCCTTACAAAGACCTTGATCTTTCCTCTATACCAGGGATTGGCAAACTACGGTCCTCAGACCAAATCTGGCCTACTGCCTGTTTGTATAAAGTCTTATTAGACCACAGCTGCTATGGTTTGAATGTTTGTGTCCTTGAAAAATGCATATGTTGAAATCCTAACCCCCAAGATGATGGTATTAGGAGATAGGACCTTTGGGAATCAAAGCCCTCATGACTGGGATTAGTGTCCTTATAAAAGACACCCCAGAGATACCATGTGACAACATAGTGAGAAGGCACCATCTGTGAACCAGAAAGTGGGCCCTCACCAGACACCAAATCTGCTGGCACCTTAATCCCAGCTTTCAGAACTATGAGATAAATCATATAGTATCACTCATGCCACATTCTGTTGGTTACAAGCCCGTCCAGATTCAAGGGGAACGAACATAGATTCCCAATTCTCAATGGGAGGAGTGTCAGATTTTGCAACCATTTTTTGAAAACTGCCACAGACTTCTCACTAGTATCAGAAATTCAACATATGATCTTCATAAAACATTTCATCAGCATTTTTTCTTCTCTGTTCAGTAGTACCATCATTATTTCACTCTTCTGGGCTTGAAAACTTAATCATCCTTGCTTTTTTTCATCCAAATCCATTTGTACTACAATTTCTTTTTATTTTTTTTTAAATCTTTTGGATGTCACTGTTTTTCTCACTGCCATCACCAGACCCCTGAACCATTGTAGTAACACCCCAAAATGCACTCTCTGCTCACTGGTCTCTCCCAACCCAGAGTGTACTGTGCCATGCAGAATAATGTGTATGTGCTGCTTAATCTGTAGATTTCATCAAATTATCAAGGGGCCCATTACTTAAAAAAAGTTTGACAACCATGCGTTGGGAGTCCCCAAGACTGCCCCCATATTTAGAGATTCATTAGAAGGGCTAAGCATATAAGGCATAGTGTGTCTAAGGTTTATTAGTAAAAGGACGCAGAATAGAATCAGCAAAGGAAAAAGACACTAGTAGAAATCTGGAAAAAGTCATGCACAGGTTTCCTTATGTTTTCCTTCCTGTGGGAGGATACTGCAAGCATGTTACTTTCTCCAGCAACGAAAAATGTAGTAATGTATATGTACAGTGTTTTTGTTTTTTTTTGTGGGGTTTTTTTGTTTTGTTTTGTTTTGTTTTTTTTGAGAGAAGGTCCTGCTCCGTGGTCCAGGTTGGAGTGCAGTGGCTCAGTCACAGCTCACTAGCAGCCTCAACTTCCCAGGCTCAAGTGGTCCTCCTACCTCTGCCTTCTAAGTAGCTGGAACTACAGGTGCATGCCACCACACCAGAATAATTTTTTTTTTTTTTGGTAGAAACTGGAGTTTGCCATGTTGCCCAGGTTAGTATGTACAACGTTTATGCCCAGAGAAACCCATTAGAGACTCAGGGTCCGAGGTTTTTATTGGAGGCTGATCATGTAGGCACTCTACCAGATACCTAGCAGGTACCAAAATTTCAGACTCCCAGAAGGAAAACAGGTGTTGGCATAAACTTTATTGTTTACACAGACTAGGCGGAATAAACCACCCTTATGAGTTGGGGAAAAGTGGGAATACTCTCAAAATCTAGTTCTGAGTTGTTGAGGGCCAACCTTGTATATAGGTTTTCCTAAAAATAGCATCCTCCAGTGCTTTGAGAGACCGAGGCAGGAAAATCACTTGAGCCTAAGAGTTCGAGACCAGGCCAGGCACAGGGGCTCATGCCTGTAATCACAGCACTTTGGGAGGCTGAGGCGGGTGGATCACAAGGTCAGGAGTTCAACACCAGCCTGGCCAGAATGGTGAAACCCCGTCTTTAGTAAAAATACAAAAATTAGCTGGCGTGGTGGTGGAAGCCTGTAGTCCCGGCTACTCGGGAGGCTGAGGTAGGAGAATCGCTTAAACCCAGGAGGCAGAGGTTGCAATGAGCCAAGATCGTGCCACTGCACTCCAGCTTGGGCAACAGAGCGAGACTCCGTCTCAAAAAAAAATAAAAATAAAAAAATTCGAGACCTGCCTGAGGAACATAGTAAAACCTCATCTCTACAAAATTAGCTGGACATGATGGTGTGCACCTGTAGTCCCAGCTACTTGGGAGGCTGAAGCAGGAGGATCACCTGAGCCCAGGAATTCAACGTTGCAGTGAGCTATGATTGTGCCACTGCACTCCAGCCTGGGCAACAGAGCGAAACTGTCTCTAAAAAACAAAAAAGTTTAAAGAAACTAAACCTCTTTGCATCCCTCTACCTTATTCAAGCAGAATGTCTTACATTCTAGTAAATATGATTGCTAAAGAACTCAAGTTACCTACATCATGATAAGTCATTAAATTGTTTTTGGCTGGTTGTGGTGGCTCACACCCACAATCCCAACACTTTGGGAGGCTAAGGTGGGCAAATCACTTGAGCCCAGGAGTTCAAGACCAGCCTGGGCAACATAGCGAAACCCCATCTCTATAAACAATACAAAAATTAGCTGGGTATGGGGGGGCGTGTGTCTATAGTCCCAGCTACTTGGGAGGCTGAGGTGGGAGGATGGCTTGAGCCAGGAGGTAGAGGTGGCATTGAGCCAAAATAGCGCCACTGCACTCCAGCCTGGATGACAGAGCCAGACCTTATCTCAAAAAAAATAAAAAAATTGTTTTCAAGTAGATTCCCTGTTTAAAAATAATCTTGAATTCTTTATATTTCAATACTCCTAAATAATGTAATAAATACATATGTTAAATTAGGTTAGAATTTCATTATGATCTCCTCACTAGATCTTCTCTCCGTGGCAGGATGCAGACTCATCTGAGCGTATCATTGCTCCCATGCGCTGGGGCTTGGTCCCTTCTTGGTTCAAAGAAAGTGATCCTTCCAAGCTGCAGTTCAATACTACCAACTGTCGTAGTGATACCGTAATGGAGAAACGGTCATTTAAGGTAGGTGGCTGGTAGCTATTAGTGCCCCGTATACCTCAGAAATAAGGTTCCAAAGGGTGTTTCCATCCTAGCCTACAGAGGACAACCAAAAATAAATAAATAACACAAAAAAGAATGTTCCCAGTTGTTAATGTGGAATGCTATTTTGTTACTACATAACAAACCACACCAGACTTAGTAGTGTGAAACAAAATGATAAACATTATCTCTCATATTCTCTGGGTTGACTGGGCTCATCTGGGCAGTTTTCACTTGGAAGTTCTCATGTTGCAGTTAGATGGCAGCTGAGGCTGGATGTCCAAGATGACTTCTTCACCCACATCTGACCCTTCAGCTGGGATGACTAGAACAACTAGAAGGCTTTCCATATGCCTAGCTCGAGGGTGTCAGGGTAGCCAGGCTTCTGTTACGGTGACTCATTTACCCCAGAGCTCATGATCCAACAGAGCAGGACAGAAGATATAAGCCTTTGTCTTACAGCATCACTTAATCTTGGCAGTCATACAGCATTACTTATGCTGTATTCTTTTATTGTTATTGTTTAATTTTTTTTTTTAAATAGAGACAAGGTCTGGCTATGTTGCCCAGGCTGGTCTCAAACTCCTGGGCTCAAGTGATCCACCTGTCTGGGCCTCCCAAAGTACTGGGATTACAGGTGTGAGCTATCACGCCCGGCCTACTTCTGTTGCATTCTATGGGTTACACAGAGCCAGCCCAAATTCAGTGTGGGAGGTGTCTACATAGGGTGTGAATACTGGGAAGCATGCTTCATTGGGGAGGCACCTTTGAAGACTAGCTATGACAAGTACCTATTTGTTAGAAAAGAGGTGATTGCTTTTATGTACATTATTTAATCTTTTCAACATCTATGTGAGTTGTGACTTTCTTTATACATAAGAAAAGAGAGTGGCCGGGCACGGTGGCTCACACCTATAATCCCAGCACTTTGGGAGGCCAAGATGGGCGGATCACGAGGTCAGGAGATCGAGACCATCCTGGCTAACACGGTGAAACCCCGTCTCTACTAAAAATACAAAAAATTAGCCGGGCGTGGTGGCGGACGCCTGTAGTCCCAGCTACTCGGGAAGCTGAGGCAGGAGAATGGCTTAAGTAAACCCAGGAGGTGGAGCTTGCAGTGAGCCGAGATCACGCCACTGCACTCCAGCCTGGGCGACAGAGCAAGACTCCGTCTCAAAAAAAAAAAAAAAAAGAAAAGAGAGGTACAGAGAAATTAAATAACTGTTTTAAGGTCATACATTGGCAGACCTCAGATTTTATGTATTTATTTGTTTGTTTATTTATTTTGAGATGGAGTCTCATACTTTTGCCCAGGCTGGAGTGCAGTGGCATGATCTTGGCTCACTGCCACCTCTGCCTCCAAGTTCAAGTGATTCTCGTGCTTTAGCCTCCCAGGTAGCAGGGACTACAGGTGTGCACTACCACGCCCAGCTGATTTTTATATTTTTAGTAGAGATGGGCTTTCACCTTGTTAGCCAGGCTGGTCTCGAACTCCTGACCTCAAGTGATCCTCCCATCTCGGCCGCCCAAAGTGTTGGGATTACAGCCGTGAGCCACCCGCCTGGCCCAAACCTCAGATTTTAATTCAAGTTCTCCAAGTAATGGCAGCCTGTGAAACATGATTGTATCACTAAGACCATATCTTGCTCACATTTTCCCTCAGGTGCCTCTGGGAAAGGGAAGACGCTGTGTCGTTTTAGCAGATGGATTCTATGAGTGGCAGCGATGTCAGGGAACAAACCAGAGGCAGCCATACTTCATCTATTTTCCTCAAATCAAGACAGAGAAGGTATCATTATCAGCATTCACAATATATATTTGGAAAGGCACAGGGAAACAAATTAATCCAAAGGACATTTTTTTCTTCCCCATAGTTTTATTTATTTATTTTAAAATAACAGCTTTGGCCCAGTGCGGTGGCTCACGCCTGTGATCCCAGCACTTTGGGAGCCCAAGACGGGAAGATTGCTTGAGCCTAGGAGTTTGAGACCAGCCTGGGCAACATGGTGAAACCCCGTCTCTACAAACAATACAAAACTAGCTGGGCATGGTGGTGTGTGCCTGTAGTCCCAGCTACTCGGAAGGCTGAGGTGGGAGGATCACTTGAACCCACGAGATAGAGGCTGCAATGAGCTATGATCACACCACTGCACTGGGCGACAGAGCAAGACTCTGTCAAAATAAAATAAAATAAAGTGAAATGAAATGAAATGAGCTCATTGAGAGATAATTCACCTTAAAATTCACCTTTTTAAAATGTGCAATTCAGGAATGTTTTAGTATGTTCAAAGTATGCAATTATTACCTCTATTTTTAGAATATTTTTATCACTCTAGAAGGAAACTACATATCCATTAGCAATCACTCTTTATTCTCCACTATGCCCAGCCCCTGTCAAACACGAATCTACTTTCCATCTCTGGATTTGCCTATTTTGGACATTTCATAAAAACAGAATCATAGAATATGTGGTCTTTTGTGACTGGCTTCTTTGATTTAGCATAATGTTTTCAAGATTCATCCATGTTTGGCATGGATCAGCACTTCATTCCTTTTTGTAAGAACAGACCACATTTTGTTAATTCATTCATCAGTTGATAGACACTTGGATTGTTTCCACTTCTTGGTTATTATGAATAATGCTGCTATGAACATTCATGTACAAGTTTTGCATGGATTTGTTTTCATCTCTCTTGGATAGATGCCTAGGAGTGGAATTGCTAGGTCATATTACAACTCTACGTTTAACATTTCCTTCATAAAACTTTCACTGTGGCTGGGCGCAGTGGTTCAGGCCAGGCACGGTTGCTCATGCCTGTAATCCCAGCACTTTGGGAGGCCAGAGCAGGTGGATTACTTGAGCTCAGGAGTTCAAGACCAATCTGGGCAACATGGCGAAAACCCATCTCTACCAAAAATACAAAAAATTAGCTGGGCGTGGTCCCAGCTACTTGGGAGGCTGAGGTGGGAAGATGACTTGAGCCCAGGAGGTGGAGGTTGCAGTGAGCTGAGGTCGTGCTACTGTACTCCAGCCTGAGTGACAGAGTGAGACCCCATCTCAAAAATGAAACAAAAACCCTTTCACTGTAAGACATAATTTGAACTGTTCATGTTAAAACATTATCAGGAGATTGAAAACAAATCTGACATGCCAACATCATGTTTTATTTTTAATTAGATTATTTAGTCTGACACTGCTAAAGCACCTGAGTTCTTAGCAGTTTGCTTGTTAAAATTGGGAATTGTTTGTTCACCTGTCATCTCATTTTGGGGACTGGAAATAGTGTTACCGAGTAAAAGGGACTTGCTACCCAATGTGCTAGAAGCCAATACCATGATACTGAGTAGCTGGTCCCAGCTACTTGGCAGGCTGAGGTGGAATGATAGCTTGAGCCTGGGGTGGGGAGTGGAGGGTGCAGTGAGCCGAGATTGCACCACTGCACTCCAGCCTGGGTAACAGAGAAAAGTTTTTTTTTTTCTTCTTTTTTTTTTTTTGAGACAGAGTCTCTCTCTGTTGCCCAGGCTGGAGTGCAGTGGCGTGATCTCGGCTCACTGCAGCCTCTGCCTCTCGGGTTCAAGCGATTCTCCTGCCTCAGCCTCCCAAGTAGCTGGGACTACAGGCGTGTGCCACCAGGCCCGGCTAATTTTTTGTATTTTTAGTAGAGACGCGGTGTTAGCCAGAATGGTCTCAATCTCCTGACCTTGTGATCCACCCGCCTCGGCCTCCCAAAGTGCTGGGATTACAGGCGTGAGCCACTGCGCCTGGCCGAGAAAAGTTTTTTATTTCAAGTCGACTAACAAGAAGACAGGAGTCCAGCTCAACTCTGTCTCCCTAGCTGGCTTTAAGGAGTACTTTTATTAAAAAAATGTTTAGGGAGTGGATTCTGGGATTAGTAGGTGATTGGTGGAAGGAAAGGGGAGGCCTGGAAAGTCTTCAGGTATGTGCAGTTATCTCTTCCTGCCTCCATATAGGTCTCATGTGCAAATTCAGGGGGAGTTAGTGTGAAATGTGGTGGAAATTCAGGCTGTGATATAAGCAAGCTTGTTTTGCATATACTCTAGTCAGTTATTGGTTCCAACCAATTCAGCCAGTTTTGTTATCTTACAAGCGGAGGGAGTTTCACTGTTTCAGCAAGTTATTTTCTTATGTGCTATCCTGTAAGCCCAAGAATTTAGTCATTGGTGTTTTTGTTTGTTTGTTTGTTTTTTAACTCTTTGGGGCAGTTTCAGTAGTCAAGAGAGTTTGCCTCACCCTCAGATAATTCCCTATCAGTGATGGGTGCACCAAAATCTCAGAAATCACCACTAAAGAATTTATTCATGTAACCAGACACCACCTGTTCCCCAGAAACCTATTGAAATAAAACATAAATTAAAAAAGAAAATTCCCAGTCTAGCCAGTCTAGTAACACACAAATGATTTGGTACAAGACAAGATTAATTTATAAAACATCTATCAATTATAATAGCAAATATTAAGCACTTACTACTAGTCAGTTACTCTTTCTAGGAACTTAATGTGTATTAGCTTAATATACATTAATTCTTTTTTTTTTTTTTTTTTTTTTTTTTGAGACAGAGTTTCACTCTTGTTGCCCAGGATGGAGTGCAATGGTGTGGTCTTAGCTCACTGCAACCTCCACCTCCTGGGTTCAAGCAATTCTGCCTCGGCCGCCTGAATAGCCGGGATTACAGGTGCGTGCCACCATGTCTGGCTAATTTTTGTATTTTTAGTAGAGACAGGGTTTCACCATGTTAGCCAGGCTGGTCTCTAACTCCTGACCTCAGGTGATCCGCCTGCCTCAGCACCCCCTAAGTGCTGGGATTACAGGCATGAGCTACTGCGCCTGGACTTGAACTTAATTTTTACACTACAGATAGTTGGATTTTCCTTTTTGATTCAGTCTGACAATCATTCTTTTAATTTGTGTTTAGAACATTTAATTTAATGTAATTATTGATGTGATTGGGTTAAAATCCATTGTTTTGCTAGTTTTCTATTTGTTCCATCAACTCTTTGTTCCTTTTCTCCTGATCTTTCTGTTTTGGGAATAATCTTTTATAATTGCATTTCATCTCTATTATTGGCTTATTATTTTTGCCTCTCAAAAAATGTCTTTAGGCCGGGCGCAGTGGCTTACAACTCTAATCCCAGCACTTTGGGAGGCTAAGGCGGGCGGATCATGAGGTCAGGAGATCAAGACCATCGTGGCTAACAGTAGAGAAACCCTGTCTCTACTAAAAATACAAAAAAAAAATTAGCCTGGTGCAGTGGTGGGTGCCTGTAGTCCCAGCTACTTGGGAGGCTGAGGCAGGAGAATGGTATGAACCCGGGAGGCGGAGCTTGCAGTGAGCCAAGATTGCGCCACTGTGCTCCAGCCTGGGCAACAGAGTGAGACTCCGTCTCAAAAAAAATAATAAATAAATAAATGTTTTTAGTAGTTGCCCTACAGCTTACAGCATACATTTTAAGTTAATAACATTCTGTCTTTATACACTACATTACTATTGAAAATACCTTACAACAGTATTCTCCCAGTTCCTCCTGTCTTTTGGGCTACTGTTATGCATTTTATTTTTACATATACTATAAACTTACAATACATTGCTATTTTACTGTAGATGGTCAATTATGTTTTAGAGTGGTAAAAAATAAGAAAAGTCTTTGTACACGTACCTTCATTTTAGCCATTTCCATGGATCTTCACTTATTTGTATAGATCCAGTTTTCTCTCTGGTATTACAGCCCTTCTGCCTGAAGGACTTTAATTTTTCTTGTAGTGTGGGTCTGCTGGTAATAAATTCTGATTTTTTTTTTGTCTGAAAAAGTATCTATTTCTTTATTTTAAAAAATCATCAGGGCCGGGCACAGTGGCTCATGCCTGTAATCCCAGCACTTCGGGAGGCCGAGGTGGGCGGATCACCAGGTCAGGAAATCGAGACCATCTTGGCTAACACGGTGAAACCCCATCTCTACTAAAAACACACAAAAAATTAGCCGGGCGTGGTGGCGGGCACCTGTAGTCCCAGCTACTTGGGAGGCTGAGGCAGGAGAATGGCATGAACCCAGGAGGCAGAGCTTGCAGTGAACCGAGATGGCGCCACTGCACTCCAGCCTGGGCGACAGAGTGAGACTCCATCTCAAAAAAAAAAAAAAAAAAATTCATGCTTTTTATTGATATATAATTCACATATAATAAAATTCACCCTTTTAAAATGTACAGTGGTTTTTAGTATATTCAAAACCTTGGCCAGGCACAGTGGCTCTAAAATTAACCATGCATGGTGGCTCGTGCCTGTGGTCCCAGCTACTTGGGAGTCTGACGTGGGAAGATCACTTGAGCTTAGGAGGTCGAAGTTGCAGTGAGCCGAGATCACACCACTACACTCCAGCCTAGGTGACACAGTGAGACTCTATCAAAAAAAAAAACAAAAAAAACCCCACAAAATGTTGTGCAGCCATCATCACTAATTCCAGAATGCTGTTATCAACCCCAAATAAAACCACACCCATTAGTAGTCACTTTCCATACCTCCCTGTCTTTAACCCCTGGCAACCACTGTCTGGTATTTTTCACCGTATATAAGATTCTGGGTCAGTGGTGTTTTGTTTTCTTTCAGTACTTTAAAAAAATACACTTCATTGTCTCTGGCTCTCATAGTTTTTTTGAGAAGTCTAGTGTATAACTGTCTTTTTTCTTTTGTATGTAATGCATAAATGTGTGCTGCTCTCACCACCTTCCCCTCCACCTCCCTCCACCCCTGCTTTTAAGATTTTCTCTTAGGGCAGCTGTTTGAATACATTGTGTGTATGTGTTTTAGCCTATTCTCTTTGCTGCTTGGATCTGCAGTTTGATATCTTTCATAATTTATGGAAATTTCTTGGCTTTTTCCTCTTCAAATATTTCTTCTGCCCCATTTTCTCTTTCTGGGATTCTAATGACACATGTGTTAGATGATTTAATTGTACCATCGTTCTTGGATATTCTCTCCATTTTTCTTTCTTTTTTTCTTCTCTGTTTCAGTTTAGATACTTTTCACTGACCGTTTTTTTTCTTTTTTTGAGATGAAGTCTCGCTCTGTCACCCAAGCTGGAGTACAGTGGTGCAATCTTGGCTCACTGCAACCCCTACTTCCCAGGTTCAAACAATTCTGCCTCAGCCTCCCAAATAGCTGGGATTACAGGCATGCACCACCATGCCCAGCTAATTTTTTTTGTATTTTTAGTAGAGACGGGGTTTGATAAGGTTGGCCAGGTGGGTCTTGAACGCCTGACCTCAAGTGATCTGCCTGCCTTGGCCTCCCAGAGTATTGGGATTACAGGCATGAGCCTCTGCGCCTGGCCATTATTGACCTATCTTTAAGTTCACTGAGTCTTTCTTATAGTTTCTGTCTCTCTGCTAACGTTCCTTATCTGTTCATATATGTTGTCCACATTTTCCACAAGAGTCTTTGACATTAATTTTACTTACTTCAAGTTCTCTGATAATTTCAGCATCTGGGAAATATAATCTCTTGAATCTGGTTCTGTTAATTTCTATATCTCTTGGTGGTTGATTGCTTTAGCTTTTTTTGTGTGTCTTGTAATTTTTTATTGTTGCCAGAGATGATATGTAGGACAGAGACTGAGATTAATAATATTTATGTCTGGAAATTCTTCTATTAGGCCATTAATATATGGGGTTAAGTCAGTCTTGTCAGGAATTGAACTGGGTTTGGGCTTTGTTCTCATTACAGTGCCTTTGTTTTGTTTTTGTTTTTGTTTTTGAGACAGAGTCTCCCTCTGTTGCCCAGGCTGGAGTGCAGTGGTGCGATCTCGGCTCACTGCAAGCTCCGCCTCAGCCTCCCGAGTAGCTGGGACTACAGGCGCCCGTCACCAGGCCCAGCTAATTTTTTGTATTTTTAGTAGAGACGGGGTTTCACCGTGTTAGCCAGGATGGTCTCGATCTCCTGACCTCGTGATCCGCCTGCCTCGGCCTCCCAAAGTGCTGGGATGACAGGCATGAGCCACCACGACCAGGCTACAGTGCCTTTGTTTGACACAGGCTTTCAAGTGCTCTGGTGTTATCCAGTGTTTAGGGTAAGGATTGACTTTCCAGAGGGTTTCTCAGCAGCCCTCCTCTCTTCAGTTGTTGGATTTTCCTGTGAGCCTGTGCCTTAGACATGGTCTTTCTTGTGCCCTTTTCCCTCTTCCAGAAGTAGACTGCTTCTGCTTGTCACTTAATGTTTGTCGGCTAAACGGGTGGAGGCAGTTCTCCGTTCAGTCTATCTTAAGCAGATGTGGCTCTCTGACTCAGTCTTCCCCAGGGCGTAGGGGGCTTTTTCTTTTTCTCCTTCCCCAGCCTCTGTGGGTCTTTACCTGATTCCTAGGCGTGACAGGGATTATTATTATTACCGTTTCCCTGGCAGCTTAAGACTTTTGCTCCTTAGGGGAAAAGTGATTAGGTGAGGCAGAGGAGCTTGCCTTTAAGGTATTCAACAGTGAGGATGGCTTCCTCCAGGCTCCTGCCCTGTGCCGTCTTTTTCGAGCACTGGCAAAGTCCAAGGAGAAAAGCCTGTGAGCTGGTGCAAACTCCTCTGAGGTTTGCAGCTCCTAGGGATTCTGTACTATCCTGCTAGCCTGTACGCTGCTTGTAGAAATGTGATAATAACATTATCTGAATTCTTAACCTGGTTGTATGAAGGCTTGTGTCTCCCTCCTGATGCTGCCAATAAGCCAGTACTTGTGTCCCATTGCCCCTTGGAGGACCTTGTCTTTTCTTAAATTTCAGGGAAATTGATCGACTTACCTCTCTGATGAGTTTAAGAAAAGTTATAATTTTGCATATTATCCAGCTTTTTTCTTATTGTTAGAATAGAAGTGACGTTCTTTCCAGCTTTCTACATTTTAGTCCTTGAATTGAATTTTGAATGGCAATTAGGAATTGGCATGAAATTCAATTCAATTAAGAAAGGGTGGGAAGGACATTTTGGGCAGAGGAAGGTTGCTTCAGCAAGACACAGGAGCATGAAATTGCATGAGAGCTTCATTTACCAACAGCTGGTTTGGGTTCAAATTAACAATGTAAGTAATAGCTAGAATGGTGGGCCAGTTCACGGAAGGCCTAAATGTCCAGTGAAGGTGTTAAATTCTGAAAGTATTAAGGAGCCATGAATCTATAGCTTCAGTTGGCATTTGCCACCAACCTTCTTTCCTTTGGTGACAGAGGGGTTAATAAGACGTGGGCTGAATTACTTTTAAAATGATTTCCGTGCTCTCGAGTCTGAAGTAGTACCTAACCTGCATGTAGAAGAAGTCTGCTGAGTGCATCTAATCTGCCCATATATTTTGCTTCCAGTCAGGTAGCATTGGTGCTGCAGATAGTCCTGAGAACTGGGAGAAAGTCTGGGACAACTGGAGGCTGCTGACAATGGCCGGGATCTTTGACTGCTGGGAGCCCCCAGAGGGAGGAGATGTCCTGTATTCCTATACCATCATCACAGTGGATTCCTGCAAAGGCTTGAGTGACATCCACCACAGGCAAGTCATACTTCTTAGCCCTGGATCCAAAAGGATCCAAAAGATGATTTGTCCTCTGCTTTTAGGTAGCTTTAGAGAGTAGGAAACCAAGTCATTTTACAACGTAAAGTTACAATCAGTTTGACTCTAACATGACATACATTCCTAAAAATCACTGTACTATGCAAAACGATAGAATAAAAACCAAATAACTTAGGGGAAAAGTGGGGTTAAGGAGACAACACTTAAAATGTTGTCAGTGACACATTAAAAAAATAATGGAAACCTAATAAAACAGTAGCACTGTTTTATACATGTTAGGTGGTTAAGAAATAAATAAATACTACAGGCTGAGCACGGTGGCTCACGCCTGTAATCCCAGCACTTTGGGATGCTGAGGTGGGTGGATCACGAGGTCAGGAGATCGAGACCATCCTGGCTAACACGGTGAAACCCCGTCTCTACTAAAAATACAACAACTAAATTAGCCGGGCATGGTGGCGGGCTCCTGTAGTCCCAGCTACATGGGAGGCTGAGGCAAGAGAATGGTGTGACCCCGGGAGGTGGAGCTTGCAGTGAGCCAAGATCGTGCCACTGCACCCCAGCCTGGGTGACAGAGTGAGATTCCATCTCAATAAATACATACATACATACATACTACAATAAATATGGCACTTTACCTCGACAAGACCTGAAGTTTGCTTGTTGCTTGTGGAAGTGAGTGTTGGAAGAAATGCATCTCATGAGTTATTGTGAAGTTGTGGAAGGAAGGTTATGTAAAATTTTTTATCTTTTGCAGTCTTAAATCCTGGGGCACAGTTTTCCTCCTATGAACGTATTTCCTTTGAGGCATGCATTTGTAATAGATGCTATTTAATTAAAATTGAATATTTGATTCAATGTATAGCCTTCTCCTCCAATTAACTTCTGTATCACTGCTAGAAATTCTTTAGCGCATTTTCATCTGTACTTGTGGCTTCTCCCAATAGCAGAAAGCTTTGAAAATTGTCGCCATGTTCGAAACCAGTAAACTAACCACTACTAGCACTAAAAGGAGCCACTTGTGGTATTTAAGATTTTATTTATATATAGGCCTTATTTATATATTTTTTGTATGAACCTTATAGGTGCTTCTTTTTTTTTTTTTTTTTTTTTGAGACAGAGTCTCACTCTGTCGCCCAGGCTGGAGTGCAGTGGTGCGATCTCGGCTCACTGCAAGCTCTGCCTCCTGGGTTCACACCATTCTCCTGCCTCAGCCTCCCGAGTAGCTGGGACTACAGGCACACGCCGCCACGCCTGGCTAACAGGGTTTCGCCATGTTACCCAGGATGGTCTAGATCTCCTGACCTTGTGATCCACCTGCCTCGGCCTCCCAAAGTGCTGGGATTACAGGTGTGAGCCACCGCGCCTGGCTGGAGTACTTCTTGAAGTTGTTCCAGCCATGGTCATTTTTTTTTTGTAGCATCATCACTGATGTGGACTCCTTGATATCCTTTGCTCAGGAAATAATCACATGTTCTCATTTTTCTTCCAGGATCTTTTACTATTTCAAGCTTCTTTTCAATATTTAAAATGTCTCCATTCACATGCATTGCCTACCATGTTTTGAGCCAGGAAGCTTAGACATGTTTGAGATGTTAAATGTGCATCTTTATATATATATATATATATATATATAGAAAAGTTCAGAAAGGCAAAAGAAGAGCAAAACACAATTTTGTAAAATAGTATGCAGTGAGCCAAAGTAGCAGTCAGTGTTTGAGATGGGTGCATTTTGTGGCTCAGTTCATCTGGGTGCAGTTTTCTGTGTTCACCTTGTGTTTCTCACAGATGAAACTGTGCATAAGCAAACACAAAATTTGCATTGTGCTCCAATTGCTCTCTACTGTATCAGTGGCATTGGAACAGATTTGCATTTTAAACATAAGCATTGGCAGAACTGACTATACTTGTATTCTACCTTTATACTTTCTGCCAGAGCTGAGTACTCCCTGAAGTGATTTTTTGGAGTTCTCCTGAAAAGAATGCAGTGTGACACCTGTCAGGATTACCTGCTTTAGCCTTGTCCTAGGCTATATCTGTGAAAATATGCTTTCATGTGGCCAGGCGCAGTGGCTCACACCTGTAATCCCAGCACTTTGGGACGCCGAGGTGGGTGGATCACGAGTTCAGGAGATCAAGACCATCCTGGCGAACACTGTGAAACCCCATCTCTACTAAAAATACAAAAAAATGGCCAGGCGCGGTGGCTCACACCTGTAATCCCAGCACTTTGGGAGGCTGAGGCGGGTGGATCATGAGGTCAGGAGATCGAGACCATCCTGGCTAACACGGTGAAACTCTGTCTCTACTAAAAAATACAAAAAATTAGCCAGACGTGGTGGCGGCTGCCTGTAGTCCCAGCTACTTGGGAGGCTGAGGCAGGAGAATGGCGTGAACCCGGGAGGTGGAGCTTGCAATGAGCCGAGATCATGCCATTGAACTCCAGCCTGGGCAACACAGTGAGACTCCATCTCAAAAAAAAAAAATTAGCCGGGCATGGTGGTGGGTGCCTGTAGTCCCAGCTACTCAGGAGGCTGAGGCAGAAGAATGGCATGAACCCGGGGGGTGGAGCTTGCAGTGAGTGGAGATCACGCCACTGCACTCCAGCCTGGGCAACACAGCAAGACTCTGTCTCAAAAAAAAAAAAAAAGAAGAAAAAAAAAAAAATATGCTTTCATGTGATGTAGTTCTCTTTTAGTAATTAACCTTTAAAAATTATATTTCATTTAATCTAAATCACCATTCATTTAAAAATGTACCATTATTTTATACATTACAGTATTTAACATTATTTTATATGTTATGTATATATTTAGGAGACAAATGAACATTTGTCTGTATCTGAATCAACTGTACCACCCAAAAAGTGTGTGCCACACTGCATTGGCCTGGGACATAAAACTGGAAGCTAAACCTAGTATATTTTCCTTACATCCTCTGGGTACCAGGAGTCATGTTTGACAGCTTCTCTGCTTTTCTGACGCATGGCTTCCTTTTGTTCACAATTTTCTTACTGTAAGTCTTTCAGAGGTGGTGAGGCTTGAGATTGCTGTTGATAGACAAGTTTTCAAGATCTATTTTCCCTTCATTCTAGGCTGGGGTGTCATAGAAAGTTTACCAATTTACTAGAGTGGACACTGGAGTACACTAGACCAGTTAGTACTCTTCACTGTCTTTGCCATGAAACTTTATAACATGGCTCTCCAGGTGTTGAATCTGGTGCCCTGTCACCCTGTGCTCAGGGAACACATGGCAGCAATCAGCATGTGAGGCGCAGAGGGAGGGCAAGCTCCCCTTGTGATATTTGAGGTATCAGCTGACTCAAGTCTCTCTCCCTTCTCTCCTTATTCTCATGCTACCTCTCCCAACCATTGTCTTAACTTCCCTGGCCAGGATGCCTGCCATATTAGATGGAGAGGAGGCAGTTTCTAAATGGCTTGACTTTGGTGAAGTCTCAACTCAGGAAGCTCTGAAATTAATCCACCCAACAGAGAACATCACCTTCCATGCAGTCTCTTCTGTGGTGAACAACTCGCGAAACAACACTCCTGAGTGTCTGGCTCCTGTCGACTTGGTGGTCAAAAAGGTAGGGGCCTGTGACTGGTACAGTCCTTTTTGAGCTTTCTGTCTTCTGTCAGTGTTCTCTTTCTTTCAGGATGTGGCCTTTTATGATCAGCCCTTTAATTTGGACCATCAAAAGCTCTCATACTCCTTGTACACAGCAAGGTAGTGTAGAGCAGCAATTCTCAAACCTGGCTGTGACTCAGAGTCCCCAGGAGAAGAACTCTTTCAAAATGTAAATGCTAGACCCTATCTAGACATCCTGAATCAACATTTAGAGCTAGGCTTGGACTTTTGTATAATTAAGAAGCTTCAGGCTGGGCGCAGTGGCTCACGCCTGTAATCCCAGCACTTTGGGAGGCCGAGGCAAGTGGATCACGAGGTCAACAGATCGAGACCATCCTGGCCAATATGGTGAAACCCCGTCTCTACTAAAAATACAAAAATTAGCTGGGTGTGGTGGCCCGTCCCAAGTAGTGATCCCAGCTACTTGGGAGGCTGAGGCAGGAGAATCACTTGAACCTGGGAGGTGGAGGTTGCAGTGAGCCTAGATTGGGCCACTGCACTCCAGCTTGGTGACAGGGCGAGACTGCGTTTCAAAAAAAAGAAGCTTCAGCTGGGTGCAGTGGCTCATGCCTGTAATGCCAGCACTTAGAAGGCAGAGGTGGGAGGGTAGCTTTACCTGAGGAGTTCCAGACCTGCCTGGGCAATATAGTGAGACCCCGTTCTCCACAAAAAGGAAAAAAAAAAAAGCTTCTTTGATGAGTCTGATAAACCACATTTGAGGACTCCTAATCTAGACAGTGATGGTGAAAAAGACAAAGGAGCCCTTGACCATATTGTTTCTCCGTCCCCAACCATGATTTTTGGTGTCTCTTTTCTGTATCTTTGCTTTCCGAACTACAAGTTGCAGGAGCTCCAGTCCTTAGTCTCCTTCAGGAGGATTTGAGAGCATTCCTACCATGAACCTTAACTTCTTAGAATCAGCAAGGATCCAGAGGGTGTATTTTAGGAAGGGAAGGCAAACAAACAGAAGGCCTGCAGTGGGGAGAGAAGTTCCAGAGCAAAAAGCTGGCCCCCACTGACATTTGGGGGTAAGGATTTAGGAGTAGTGATTGTTTTTAGGTGGCATGGAGGGACTTAAAATAGGACATACTTGGAATGTTCCAAGAATAGACATTTTAGAATGCCGTGTTAAGGATGATTGTAAGAACAGCTGTCCCCCTCTCTATTTTTCTTAAAGTTTTTTCCATACCCACAGTGTCATCTTTTTTTCTTTTGTTTTGATTCTGATAAACTCCTGCAACCGTGGCACTTTTTAAAAATTAGATAACTCTAAAACTAATTCTATATACAGGTTGAATATCCCTATCCAAAATGCTTGGGAACAGAAGTGTTTTAGATTTTGAATTTTTTCAAATTTTGGAATATTTGCATTATATACTTCCTAGCCGAATATCCTAAATCTGAAATGTACCAACAAGCATTTCCTTTCAAAGTCATGTAAGCACTTAAAAAGTTTAGGATTTTGGAGCATTTTGGATCTTGGATTTTCAGGGTTAGGATGCTCAACCTGTATTCATTTTGGACTAGACGCTGCCCATTTCTGCCATGGTCTTTTTTTTTTTCCTTTTTCTTTTTTAGAGACAGGGTCATGCTCTGTTGCCCAGGTTAGACTGCAGTGGCATGATCATAGTTCACTGCAGCCTCGAACTCCTGGGCTCAAATGATCCTCCCACCTCAGCCTCCCAGGTAGCTGGGACTACAAGCGTACACCACCATGCCTGGCTCATTTTTTTAAATTTTTTATAGAGATGGGGTCTTCCTATGTTTCCTAGGCTGGTCTCAAACTCCTGGGCTCAAGCGATCTTCCCACCTCAGCCTCCCAAAGTGCTGGGATTACAGGCATGCACCACTGTACCTAGCCCTGCCATGGTGTTTACTCCAAAAGATGTCACATTCTGGAGAGGTGGCATTGTGCTAATTCAGAACCTTTCAGTTCAGGATTGGGGTGTGATGTAAAGGAAGCAGAAGGGAGTAGTGACAGTCAAGAAGAGGTTGTACAGATTGTCTGCACAAAGAGGAAACAATTTAGCCTTATCACAGTGGCTGTTAGAAATTCTTCTGTATCTCTCCAGTCTCGTTTTCCAACACTCCCCCTGGGTCATGCTGAATTACATTCTTTTCCCTGAGAATGCTTCATTCTCTGCACATTTGGAATGCCTTTCAGCTCTCTTCTCTGGCTGGTCCCACACAATCCTCTGTGAAACCTTCTCTAAGATCTACTTTCCTGCCCCTTAGAGCACACTCCTCTCTTTCCACTCTTGACTGGTGGGCCCCAGCTGGCCCTTAGTAACATTTTCCAAGCCTGGGTAAGTACCTAATGCCTCTTCCCCTGTTTCTTCCCTTGGACTTGGCCTTTTCCCAAAAGCTTGAGCTGTATGGTTTGAGCTTTTTCCTCTTTCTTGTAGGAGCTCAGGGCAAGTGGCAGTAGCCAGAGGATGTTGCAGTGGTTGGCCACAAAGTCACCCAAAAAGGAAGACTCAAAAACACCTCAAAAGGAAGAGTCAGATGTTCCCCAGTGGTCCAGTCAGTTCCTGCAGAAGAGTCCACTCCCCACCAAGAGAGGCACTGCAGGACTCCTAGAGCAATGGCTGAAGCGGGAGAAGGAGGAGGAACCTGTGGCCAAGCGTCCTTACAGCCAGTGACACAGGACTTTCAGAGACCAAGGCCAGGGTCTGCTGCACTGCTGTTCTGATAATAGGTTCTTAACATTGTATGTATATGTGTTTGCTTTGGGAGGAGGTGGCACTGTGTTAGTTGACAGTTGTGGGCTCATGTAGTCTTTTTTGCCATGAGTAGGAGCCCCTAGTGGGGCTGGTGGACAGCTTTGGAAGAGGTGTCCTGCTGCTGTTACCAGCCATGTGGGCCCCATAGGGGCACTGCGCCTGCTGCCCTTTCCTGGCAGGGCTGGTGGAGTCTTCCCTCAAAGCATGCCTTACCCAGCTGGGAAGTCTCTGCCCTGATCTGGTACTCCTTGTAGTAAGCTGTTTTCTGCTCAGCCACTGGGCTCTTTCACTTTTTTAGTTCTTAAAAATTTATTTTTAAGTTCTAAAATAAAATAAAAATAAGTTCTTAAAATTTATTTTTTTCCTGAATAAATTGTATTTGGTAAACTTCTGCCTACATTTTGGAAAGTGATGCTGGTGGGGAAAGTTCTAGATCTTACTTGGTTTCTTCTAGAATCAGTCTTCAGGAATGGATTTTGTCACAAATGGGGCATGGGGGCTTTCTGAGGAAATAACTACAAGTCTTGGTGGTGGGCTCCTTATTATGTTTCTTTTTCTTTCATTCTTGATACTTGGAAGTCGTCTGAATCCTTTAGCTTCAAACCAGCCTGAGTTTGAGTGCTTGCCGTAGCAGAAACTATCCTTACCACAGGTGGGAAGGAAAGGACCAGTTTCTAGCAGTGTCGGGCCACTCCTCTTTCGAACATCCCTAAGGGAGGCATTCACAAAAGCTGTCCCAAGCAGCTGGAAGAAAACAGCTTCCGAGATGACCAGGAGGACTGGGCGGCGCCGAGCCCAGAACGCTCCTGGCGCAGCACCGTTGGCGTTGGCCGATTGCTGCTGGTGGGGGGCGGGGGTGCAGGCCCCAGTCTCTATGCAAATCAGGGATCAGAAGATCGGAATTTCCACCAATCAGCGGGAAGCCTCGGCCCTGTAACTGCTAATGGGAGACAGCAGCGCCACGCCACAGGCTTTTCCCCTGGTTTCGGGAGGGGTGGGGAGCCAGGTGGGGCTCCCGCCCAGACCCTTTCCCGAGGTCCGCCCTCTCCGCCTTTTCTCTAAATTCCTCTTTTGAGTGCCCTCCCTTCCGGTTGAGAGGCGGGGGTTGGCCCGTAGTTGTACACTCAGTCACCCTGCACTGTGGAGGCGGGGGCCTCCCTTGTGGACTGATTTGCGTGGGATTTGGTTGTTTTATTAAGAGATTTAAAAAATTCAGATGACTTACTAGTATGACTGTTTTGTCATATTTGCTTCCAGGTTAATAAATGACAAAAATGAAATTCCCTTTGTTTTTCATTATCATCTCCCCACTGTTTCTCATGGTTGCAAATTAGTTTGGTGAGGTCTTTTCATTTTAACATGAAAGAATATAATGCCTGCAGGGGCTTGTTTCCTTTTCATTCAAGTTTTTATACTTTCATATAAACGTGATGTTAGAAGCAAATCCTGGCCGGGCGAGGTGGCTCACTCCTGTAATCCTAGCACTTTGGGAGGCCAAGGCAGGTGGATCACCTGAGGCCAGGAGTTCAGGACCAGCCTGGCCAACATGGTGAAACCCTGTCTCTACTAAAATACAAAAATTAGCCGGGCATGACGTTGGGTGCCTGTAATTCCAGCTACTTGGGAGACTGAGATAAGAGAATCGCTTGAACCCGGGAGACGGTGGTTGTAGTGAGCCAAGATCACGCCACTGCACTCCAGCCTGGGCAGCTGAGTGAGACTCTGTCTCAGAAAAAAAAAAAAAAAAAAGCAAATCCTTATGTCTGAGAGCATACAGTATCATTTTATGAGTTTCAGGTTTACATAAATGGTATCATCTTGGGCATTCTGCAACTTCTTTTTCTCTAAGTCATCAGCTTTACTAGGTATTGCCAAATTGCTCTCCAAATTTTCACATATTTCAGGGGCATAAGAATCTTCATTTTCCCACCTTGCCAACATTTAATCCTGCTTACTAGAGCAATGGAACATCTTCCCGTCTTTTGTTCTTAGTCAAATCTGGACCAAACAGGGTAGCTCCCACCTGCCTGTCTAGGTGTGGCCAGGTGGAGCCAGGCCCTCTACCAATCTCTGGCGCAGGTGGGGGCAGGCCTAGGATGTGGCCATCTGGCCCCTCTGCTTGGCTCCCAGATAGCAGTCCTTCCCACCTCCCTCCCTTTCACCCTCTAGCAGTGACCAGGCTTGGCTCTAAGTCTTAAGGGTATGCTTCCCTGCACTGTAGCCTTAGAGGAGGCAGAGGGTCCCTGGGATTTCTGGTCCTGATGGATACAGGTGCCTGCCCCTCAGTCCTGTCTGCAAGTCCATCTTGATCCATTGTCTCATGCAAGGCTTGTATGCCTAAAGCCAAACCTGCTTTGTATAGAGGTGGAAACAGACCCAGGCAAGCGCATATGGCTTGACATAGGTAAGTTAAGGACAAGTCCACGGGACTCCTGGCTTGGGAGTAGTGTATCAGCTTGGGGAAGTTGGATGAGATCTTGCTTGTAGCCAAGAAGAGTCTGGAGGGTGGGTGTCGTGGGGGGAACCAGAGGCAGTAAGGGAGGTCTCAGACTCCTAGATTCCTACCTGGGCCTGTAGGAGCTCCCCATTCTTACCTGGGCCTCTTTCTTCTCAACCAGAGTGAGGAACAAGTGATGGGAAGGGTTGAACCTCATTCCCTGGGGATAGGAGCTTTGGCTCAGGCTCCTCTGAGTACTGTCTGCCTGAGAGGGTCCTCAGTACATACAGAACTTTTTTTTTTTTCCGAAACAAGGTCTTGCTCTGTCACCCAGGTTGGAGTGCAGTGGCACGATCTTGGCTCACTGCAACCTCTGCCTCCTGGGCTCAAGTGATTCTCCCATCTCAGCCTCCCAAGTAGCTGGGACTACAGACGCATGCCACCACACCCGGCTAATTTTCATATTTTTTGTAGAGATGGGAGTCTCACTATGTTGTCCAGGCTGATCTCAGACTCCTGGGCTCAAGCAATCCTCCCACCTTGGCTTCCCAAAGTGCTGGGATTAAAGGTGTGAACCACCGCACCATCCAAACCCCTGTCCTACCACAGAAAGTTGTAAAAGGCAGAGTCTTTCACAGTCCCTAACCAAGGCAGCCAGAAGAAGGATAGGGGTTGGGAGAGCCAAGAAGAGGCGAGCAAGAAAAGGAGCCTCTGGGAGGGCATATTTATAAGGTGCACTGGGCAAGGCTCTGGGGTCCTAATGACAACCCTCTATGGAGAGGTTGTTACCCAGGTGTAGACACTCAGCACTGGCAGATAGGTCTCTGGCTTTCACTAGTGTATGGCTACCTTTGGTTGAGTCCCCTTCAGGACATCATCATTTGGGGCTTCTTGTCTTGTGAAGTGGCCAGAAGTGTCCTCATAGAAGATCCAGTTGTGAAATCTCAAAGCTGGGGGACTTCAGGCCACATTTAGCTCACACAGTGATTTTGTTTGGCCCATACAATATATATTTATTTTTTAATTCTGGTAAAATGCATGTGACATAAAATCTGCCATCTTAGCCTTTTTTTTTTTTTTTTTTTTTTTTTTTTTTTGAGACAGAGGTCTTGCTCTGCCCCCAAGGCTGGAGTGCAGTGGCAAGATCTCAGCTCACTGCAACCTCCACCTCCCGAGTTCAAGTGATTCTTCTGCCTCAGCCTCCCGAGTAGCTGGGGCTACAGGTGCCCACCACTATGCTCAGATAATTTTTGTATTTTTAGTAGAGATGGGGTTTGTTGGCCCCATGTTGGCCAGGCTGGTCTCAAACTCCTGAGCTCAGGTGATCTGCCCGCCTCGGCCTCCCAAAGTACTGGGATTACAGGCGTGAGCCACTGTGCCTGGCCAAACATTTTAAAATATACATTCAATACTGTTAATTGTATTCACATTGTTGTGCAACCAATCTCTGAACCTTTTTCATCTTGCAAAACTGAAAGTTAAACAACTCCCCATATTTCCCTCCCCTCAGCCCTTGATAACCACCATTCTACTTTCTATCTCTGAATTTGACTACTCTAGATACCTCATTTAAGTGGAATCATGCAGTGTTTGTCTTTTTGTCACTGGCTATTTTCACTCAGCATAATGTTCTCAAGATTCATCCATGTTGTAGCATGGGTCAGAATTTCCTTCCTTTTTAAGGCCAAATAATATTCCATTGTATGGGTAGATCACATATTTAAAAATCTACTTATCTGTCAATGGACCCTTGGGCTGCTTCCACCTCTTGGCTATTGTGAATAGTGCTACTATGAACATGGATGTGCTCTTCTCATCACTGCTTTCCAGTCTTTGGGGCATTTACCCATGAGTGGAATTGCTGGATTGCATAGTAATTATATTTAATTTTTTGAGAAACTGCCATGCTGTTTTCCATAGCGGTTGGACCATTTTACATTCCTTCCAACAGTGCAAAAGTGTTCCAGTTTCCCCACATCCTTGCCAACACTTTCTATGTTCTGTGTTTTTTTTTGTTTGTTTGTTTGCTTGTTTTTTGTTTTTTGAGACAGGGTCTGGCTCTGTTGCCCAGGCTGGAGTGCAGTGGCTCGATCTTGGCTCACTGCAGTCTCCATCTCCTGGGCTCAAGCGATTCTCCCACCTCAGCCTCCTGAGTAGCTGGGATTAAAGGCACACACCACCATGCCCAGCTAATTTTTGTATTTTTTGTAGAGATGGGAGTCTCGTTATATTACCTAGGCTGGTCTTGAACTCCTGGGCTCTAGTGATCCTCCCACCTTGGCCTCCCAAAGTGCTGGGATTATAGGTGTAAGTCACAATGCCCAGCCCTGTTTTTTCATAGTAGCCATTCTAATGGGTATGGGGTGTTTTTTAAGTCCATATTTTAAAATAATGGGAAATTTCAGAAAATAGTTTAGTTTCCACTTTCAAAAATTTTGAGGAGGTGCCTCCGACAACCAGGCCCCATGTAGGACCACTGCTGCACTGAGGTACCCTACCCCATTCCTCCCTGCATGGCCAGACCACTCCCAGCCTCCAGAGAGGGACTTGGAAACTTTCAGGAGGTGCTTCTTCTAACATTATTTGGAAAACTGGGAAGCTCTGAAAACAATCAGTAAGAGCTGGGTAGTCACTGCCCCTCTTCAGGTGGAGTCTGTGTCTTCCAGTTGGCTAGAATGCTCTACCTGGTCTGGAAGCCCTCCTCACCACCCCCCACACCCATTTTTAACTGTGGAATTGGGAGGGCTTTGTAACATGCCAACTTGGCCTGGCTGAACCATATTTTCCAGAACTCCCTGACTAGTATATTTTCCATCAGGGTGGGCCAGGAGGCAGATTCTCATCAGATTTGGAAGGAAGCAACCATTTGGACTGCTGATCTGCTGACTCACCTGATTGGCATGAAGCAGCACCTGGACCTGCAATTGCTGTGCTTTTCCCGGACTCTCCTTCAGTTTTTTCTGACTCCTGGGGCAGGTGTGTGCACGTCTAGCTCTGTGGCTAAGGGTTCCAGCTTCTACCTTCATCAGTGAGGTCAGAGACAAAAAGAATAGACACAGGTTTCAGTCTGTTGTCACGGGTCCTCCCTGTGCTAGTGGGGTTTCAGTATGCTCATGTGCTCATGGTGTTCCCCTCCTGACCACCTGCCTGTGGACTTCAAGCTCCGTCAGTCTTGGAGATACAGCCTTACAGAAACTGCTTAATCAGCCCCTACAATTGTGCAAGCCAGTTCCCTGGTTTTCCTTCTCCATTGAGTTGACATGGGAACCTGAAGCCCTGCTGACTTCTCCGGCCTCATGCCCTGTCACATTGCCCCCACTGCTTTTACCACTACACCTTTCACCATTCCCCAAACCCAGCAGCCTGTGCTACTGTGGGGCTTCCAGTCTGGAATGTCCCTACCAGGAACTTTCTGGTTTATCTGTCCTTCTCCTGCAAGTGACTGAGTCCCATCGCTGCCTCTGCTCCCATTCACCCCTAGCTTGGCACAGTCCAAGAGAAGGGGCCCAATCCAGTAGGTGTTGAATGAATGACTGTGGACTAACCCCTTGGCATATGAGATGTTTTGTTCTCCCATACCTCTGCAAGTATCACCGCCCCCAGCTTGCAAGTGTGAGTAGCCCTAACAGCAGTTGCTGTGGGGAGAGCCAGGACTTCTTTGCCTCCTCATAACTGGTGGAGCTGCTGGAAGAGCTAATATGCCCTGGGCCACATCACCCAAGATCTGATGACTGGGACAGTGAGATAGCAGTACCCCTTGTGCTAAGAGCTCAGACCCTTCCCAACAGTCCCTGTGCTCAGCTCCAAGCCCTGCCCTGGCAGACAGACAGCTTTAGACCAGGTTGGTCTAGGGACATTGACTGAGTGGAGATCCCTTTCTACCAGTCACTAAGGCTACACACCCTGGGATGGGGCCTTTGCAGTGTCTGCAGAGCTGTCCTGGGGCCAGGGAGAAGGCAGATTGGGGGACCCAGAAGGCAGAGGTGAGATGTTGAGGCTCACAGGGAGGAGGCAACATCGCAAGCAGAGTAGCCCTGGCGACAGATAGGGTGCTAACCCCAGGGGGATTCAAGGGATTGGGGGTGCAGAGGCTGGAGGTCTTGGCCAGAGACAGTGTGATCAGACTCTGCCTAGTTAGCAGATGAATGATTTTTAAGTCTTTCTTAGCACCATTTACGTATGAGGAAACTGAGACTTGGGGAGAACAATCTTGCTTGCCCCAGACCCAAAGATCATAGTGGAGATAGGCCCACTATGGTAGCTTCTAGCAGGGGCCTGCTCCCACCTGCCC